>NC_000009.12:34858484-35010000 GCF_000001405.40 Homo sapiens
AGAGCAGACCTGGACCCTGGATCTGCTGGAGCATGTGGCTGCAGGGGCCAGCCAAGAGGGTGAGGATGTAAGAACCATCCAAACACTAGGCAGGCCTGAAGCCTGTGTCTGTTGGTGCCAGCCTGGTGCCTGAGCCCAAGGGTGCTGACTTGGCACTGGGGCAAGCATGAAGCCTGGGGCTCTGTGGACCAGCCTGACTCTGGGTTGGTTTGGAATCTTTTAGTTCTTTGTATTTCTGTTTAGCTCTTTGAGCATATTTAAGATAATTTTTTAAAGTCTTTGTCTAGTAAGTCTAATTCCTGTGCTTTTTAAAGGATAGTTTCTATTTATTTTCTTCCTTTCAATGGGTGGTGCTTTCATGTTTCCTTGTATGCCTAGTGACTTGTTGTTGTTGTTTGTTGTTGAAAATTGAACATTTGAAAATTCAGCTACCTCTCTCACACTCTGCAGACTGACTCTTTGTCAGGGAAGTTCTTTACTAATTAGGTAAGCATGATCTACTTAGTTTAAAGTAAAAGGGATTAGCTCAGAATAAAAGTTGAAGGTTTCTAAGGTCTTTTCTGAGCACACATCTTGCCTGGGCCTGGGTGCCTTTTTCAATTCCTGGTTTACACAGCTGTTTTTTAATGTCTTGATCTCTCAAAAAAGTCTCATACAGCTACTGCTTGGGGCCTTTTACAGTTTACTATATATATTTTCTCATAATCTCTTGCCCAGAGGGTCTGCAGTCCTCTTGAAGTTTTCATGAATGGCACTTGCTACTTCTCTCCACCTGAAGTCTGAGTTAGGTGACTCGGAGACCAGTCCTTCAGGCATCCCCTAAACATCCCCTAGAATGTTGCAAATAAGGGTTGCTCTGTTCCTTTCAGTTTGAGGGGGGAATTGAAAACAGGGCTGCCACTTCTTCCAGACCAAGACTGCCATACTGGAGAAGTGGTCAGGCAAGGGCAAGTAAAAATGTCATGAAATTTTCTACTGTTTTGAATATGGCTTTTTCTCTTTTGGACATTTGCTTGTTTTTTCTAGACCTTTGACTGTTTTCCAGATCTCCTATAAGGTTATGATATTTGTCAGTTTCTGGTTATTTTTGATGTTTCTGTGGAAGAAAAGGGCTTTGAGCTTCCTAGTCTACCATTTTTCCCTATAAATATTCATGCACTTTGTTTCCCAAATATGGCTCAGTTGCTTGGAAATAGTTTGATTTTTTCAAGTAATCCTTATAAGCTTTATTAGGCAGACCCATAACTATTTAGGATTAATTTTTACTCACTACTAAGGTAAGGCCTTTGTTGCTACTTTACCCAGTGTCCCATTTATTATGATGTTTTCTACTCTTGCTGTTGGCATAGGCACTCTACCTGCCTCTATGCATGATCTCTGGGTATTATACCCTTATATTTTTCAAGTGTTGTTTTTTTTTAATCTCACCTCAGATACTTTTCTCCCATGCATATATCAACCAGTCATCTGCTGAATACCAGAGGGGAACTCTCTTCAAATCTCAAGAGTTCTCTTTGTGCCCATCTCTCTCTTCTCAGGTACTCTGCCCTGCAAATTCTAGCTGCCTAACCCTTCTGTGACTTGCACCTCCATCTTCTCAACTCATGGAGACTGCAAGGTTTTGAGTTTCCCCTCCTTGCACCACAGTCTAGAAACTGTCTACGCTGTAAGCTGACATTATTGTAGAGCACACCTCGCTGGTTTCCCATTTCTCAGTGATCACTGTCATTTATTGATTGATGTCTAATATCTTAAGAGTCATTGTATGTTTTGCCTAGTTTTTTAGTTATTTCAGAGTAGGGTGTATATGGGCCCTCTTGCTCCATCTTGACTGCAAGTGGGAGTCGTAGAAGAGTTGTAAAATTGTTTTCCCATAGTTCTGGCATGATTTTAATTAGGATTTATTCCTATATATTTTATTTTTGCTATTTTTACTTTTAATGGCAAAAACTGCAATTACTTTTGTACCAACCTGATAAATGCTGTTTGAATCTATGTATAAAGCTCTTAACCAGGATTAAAACTTTCATTTATTTTCCTTTGTTGCCATCATATGAACATAATAATTTTTATATCCTTCCTTCTATTTTTTTCTCTCTCTTATTTTTCTTATCTAATTTTATTGGTTAATACAAGAGTTCACATGCTCTTGATTTTAATGGGTCTGTAGTTATTGATGACTCTTATAATGAGACCTTTAAAAGTGTGTGTGTGTGTGTGTGTGCATGCACTCGTGTATGTATAATCATGTTAAGGATTCTATTTTATATTCAATTTCTATAAAGAATACAAGTTGCATCCACTTTGGATAATAATGGGGTAACTGAGCCACATTAGCCCTCCTGTTGTAAAGAACTATAAAACTGGGCAAAGTACATGCACAAACTGGACAATAAGCAGCCATGGACTGTGATCTCTTTACACAGGAGGAACACATGAGAAATGCTTCACAATTTCTGCCTGGGGGCATCTTGTAGACTACATGCAGAGAGGTAGGGGGTCCAAGCAGAGCACAGTTACATAGCCAAGCTTAGGAGCCAAAGATCAGCATTTCTGGCTGTTGAAGTAGGTGGAGTTTTCAGAGAAGGTTACCTGAGAGAAGGCAGCTGGGCAGAAAAAAAATCACCAGGAAAATGCATAGTGTGCCTATTAAGTCTCTGGCCAAATGGTAACAGAATGAGACCCTGTAAGGTTTGGCTCAGGTCACTTGCTGGAGAGCTGTGAACTGAATGGAATTTCTGGAGGTTTCACAGTGCTGCTAGAGTTAGGAAGTCCAAGTGGTCAAAATGGAAATACCTCATTGAACACTATGGACATGCAAAGGCCACACTGTAGGGTAGAACTACTTTAGACCTAGATAAGGGCCACTTTAGTCCCACCTTTACAAAGGTTAGAAAATCATTGAAAAGGATCAAGCTGATCTGCCAGTAAATTGTCTGCCAGAGCAAATTTCAATATTTTTTAAATAAGAGGCAGAGGCACAGGAGGTATAAGATTATCATAGAACTTCTTCTGTGCCATAAAGTCTAGAAGTACTCAAAGAATCATGAAGACATATCAAAAGGATACAGCAGCCATCGTAAAGAGGCCACCACTGATCAAGTTGGGGATAATTTGAGCATACAAATAAATAATGATAATAATGTATATAACCCATTAAATAAAATAAGAATTAATTAGTCTATACTAATGTAAACACGTATGGGAGAAGGTAAAGTTCTTTCTTACAGAAGAATGACAGTTTATAAATATAGAAGGAATTGACATTGGAAAATTTATAATGGTTGCTAAAACTAGTAGGTGAAAGTTTGATGAGGAACAGGATATTTTCATTGCCTCAGAGTATCTTCCCATAGGTTAAGGCATCACTTTAACCAAACCTAACATCATCAATACTAGAACAAATCAAACCATATGCCTCCTGTCTTAGACTATTCAGGCTGCCATAGCAAAATACAAACAAAACATTTATTTCTTGCAGTCCTGGAGGCTGGGAAGTTCAAGATCTGGGTGCCAGCATGATGGGGTTCTGGTAAGGGGCCTCTTCCAGGTTGCTTACTGCCAACTTCTTGCTGTGTCCTCACACGGTGGAAGGGGCAAGACAGCTGACACCCATGCAGGGAGCCCTAGCCAGAGGGAAATCACCCATCCCAGTAGTGAGAATTTGAGTTCCAGCAAGCCTCACCACCACAGGCTTAAGTGTTCTAGGACCCTAAATAAACTCAAAACGTGGTCTAGACCACAGGAACTGCAACTCTTAAGCAAATTCTATTTCTGAACTAGGCTCAGAGCCAGTAGACTTGAGGGGCACGTGACCTACTGAGACACCAGCCAGGGCATCTAAGGGAGTGCTTGCACCACCCCTCCACAACCCCAGGCAGCACGATTTGTGGCTCCAAAAGAGATCCCTTCCTTCCACTTGAGAGGAGAGAGAAAAAAGGACTTTGTCTTGCAGTTTGGTGTCCAGCCCAGCCACGGTAAGATAGGGCACCAGTCAGAGTTGTGAGGCCCCCATCCCAAGCCCTAGTTCCTGGACAACATTTTTAGACACAGCCTGGCCCAGAAAGGAACCTGCTACCTTGAAGGGAAGGACCTAGTCCTGGCAGGACCCATAACCTGCTAACTAAAGAACCTTTGGGCCTTGAATAACCAGCAGCAATACCCAGGTAGTATGCTGTGGGCCTTGGTTGAGACAGACTTGCTGGCTTCCGGTGAGACTCAGCGAATTCCCAGGTGTGGTGGCTATGGGGGAAAGTGCCTTCTGCTTGAGAAAAGTAGAGGAAAAAGTAAAGGGGACTTTGTCTTGCATCTTAGGTACCAGCTTGGCCACAGGGGGATAGAGCACCAAGCAGGTGCTTGGGATCCCCAGTTTCAGGCCTTGGTTCTTAGATGGCATTTCTGGACCTGCCCTGGGCCAGAAGGGAGCCTACTGCCCTGAAGGGTGAGTCCTAGGCCAGACAGCATTCATCACAAGCTGACTGAAGGGTCCTTGGGCCATAAGTGTACATCAGCAATAGCCTGGGAGTGTGGTGGCCATGGGGTGAGGTTCCTCTGCTTGTAGAAAGGGGAAGGAAGAGTGGGATGGACTTTTTCTTGTGGTTTGGGTGCCTGCTCAGCCACAGTAGAATAGAGCACCAGGTAGATTTCTAAGGTTCCCAACTCCAGGGTCTGGCTCCTGGGCAGTATCTCTAGACTCACTGGGGGCTTGGAGGAACTTGACACCCTGAAGGGAAGGACACAAGCCTGGCTGGCTTTAGCACCTGCTGATTGTAGAGCCCTAGGGCCTTGAGCAAACATAGGTAGCATTCAGGTAATGGTTAGAGTGAGCTTTGGGCAAGACCCAGTGCCGTGGTGGCTTCATGTCTGACCCAGCACAGTCCCAGTGGTGGTGGCCACAGGGGTGCTTGTGAGCCACCCCCAGCTGGCTCATCAGAGAGAGAGAGAGAGAGAGAGAGAGAGAGAGAGAGACTCCATTTATTTGGGAGAAAGTAAGGGAAGAGAACAAGAGTCTCTGCCTGGTAATCCAGAGGATTCTTCTGGGTCTTATTCAAGATTACCAAGGTACTACTTCTACAGGTCTGCAAGAAGCACAGCATTACTGGGCATGGGGTGCCCCCTAATGCAGATAGAGCTTAGATCACAACACCCAAGTACTTTTGAAGCACTGCAAAACCCTCCCAAGGAGGACAGGTACCAACAAGC
Organism: Homo sapiens; assembly: GCF_000001405.40. Lineage (NCBI taxonomy): Eukaryota > Metazoa > Chordata > Mammalia > Primates > Hominidae > Homo > Homo sapiens. Next base: position 34,863,687 of record NC_000009.12, read on the forward strand.
CCAGACTGCAGAGACTACAATAAATACCTGACCTTTCAATACCGAGACACCAACAAATATCCACAAGCATCAAGGCCATCCAGGACAACATGACCTCACCAAACAACCTAACTAAGGCACCAGGGACCAATCCTGGAGGAAACAGAGATATGTGATCTTTCAGGCAGAGAATTCAAAATAGCTGTTTTGAGGAAACTCAAATAAATTCAAGATAAACAGAGAAGGAATTCAGAATTCTACAAGAGAAATTTAACAAAGCAATTGAAATAATTAAAAAGAATCAAGTAGAAACTCTGGAGTTGAAAAATACAGCTGACATACTGAAGAATGCATCAGAGTCTTCTAATAGCAGAATTGATGAAGCAGAAGAAAGAACTAGTGAGCTTGAATGCAGGCTATTTGAAAATACACAGAGAATACGAAAGAATAAAGAATAAAAAGCAATAAAGCACATCTACAGGATCCAGGAAATATCCTCAGAAGGGCAAATCTGAGTTATTAGCCTTAAAGAAAAGATAGAGAAAGAGATAGGGGTGGAAGGTTTATTCAAAGGGATAATAACAGAGAAATTCCCAAACCTAGAGAAGGATATCGATATCTAAGTACAAGAAGGTTATAGAACACCAAGCACATTTAACCCAAAGAAGACTTCCTCAAGGCATCTAATGAACTCCCAAGGGTCAAGGACAAAGGAAGGATTCTAAAAGCAGAAAGAGAAGAGACACAAATAACATACAATGGAGCTCCAATACATCTGGCAGCAGACTTTTCAGTGGAAACTTTACAGGCCAGGAGAGAGTGGCATGACATAAAGTGCTGAAGGAAAAAAAAAACTTTTACCCTAGAATAGAATAGCTGGTGAAAATATCCTTCAAAGATGAAGGAGAAATAAAGACTCCCAGACAAATAAAAGCTGAGGGATTTCATTAACACCAGACCTGTCCTGCAAGAAGTGCTAAAGGGAGTACTTCAATCAGAAAGAAAAGGACATTAATGAGCAATAAGAAATCATCAAAAGGTACAAAACTCACCAGTAATAGTAAGTACACTGAAAAATATTACAACTCTGTAACTGTGGTGTGTAAACTGCTGTTAAGTAGAAAGACTAAAAGATGAATGAATCAAAAAAATAGTAACTACAACTTTTCAAAACATGGACAGTATAATATATAAATAGAAACAACAAAAAGTTAAAAAGCAGAGGGACAGGCCAGGCGCAGTGGCTCATGCCTGTAATCCCAGCACTTTGGGAGGCCGAGGCAGGCAGATCACGAGGTCAAGAGATTGAGACCATCCTGGTTAACCAACATGGTGAAACCCTGTCTCTACCAAAAATATAAAAATTAGCTGGGTGAAGTGGTGCACGCCTGTAGTCCCAGCTACTCAGGAGGCTGAGGCAGGAGAATCACTTGAACCCGGGAGGCAGAGGTTGCAGTGAGCTGAGATTGCGCCACTGCAAAAAAAAAAAAAAAAGCAGAGGGACAAAGTTAAGGTATAGAGTTTTTATTAGTTTTTTTTTTGTTTATGCAAACAATGTTAAGTTGTTATCAGCTTAAAATGATGAATTATAAGATAGTATTTGAAAACTTCATGGGGTTGGGTGTGGTGGCTCATGCCTGCAATCACAGTACTTTGGGGAGGCCAAGGTGGGCGGATCACCTGAGGTCAGGAGTTTGAGACTACCCTGGCCAACATTGTGAAACCCTGCTTCTACTAAAAACACAAAAATTAGCCAGGTGTGGTGGTGGGCACCTGTAATCCCAGCCACTCGGGAGGCTGAGACAGGAGAATCGCTTAAATCCAGGAGGCAGAGGTTTCAGTGAGCTGGGATTGCACCACTGTACTCCAGCCTGAGTGACAAAGCAAGACTCTGTCTCAAAAGTAAATAAATAAAATAAAAATAATAAAAAAAATAAATGAAAGCTTCATGGTAGTAACCTCAAATCAAAAAACATACAATGGATACACAAAAAGTAAAATGCATAGCTTAACTGGGTCCTCTGCTTCAGTCTCTCACAAGCCAAAATCAAGGTATCAGCCCAGGGTCTGTGGTTTCATCTGAGGTTTCAACTGGGGAAGGTTCTGCTTCCAAGCTCACTCAGTGATTGTTGGCAAGATTCATTTCCTCATGCTCTTTTGGACTGAGAACTTCAGTTCCTCACTGGCTGTTTGACACAGGTCACCTTTAGTTCCTGGCCATGTGGGGCCTCTCCAGTGTAGCTGCTTCATAAAAGTGTGAACACAAGGCAATAGAAAGTCAGCTAGCAAGTCACAAGTAATAATCTTTTGTAACTTACTCATGGAAGATGACACACCTCAGTGTTGCCCTATTCAATTGGTCAAAGACAAGCTGCTAAAGTGAGGCAATTATACAATGTCATGAATATCAGGAGGTGGGGCTGCCACCCTGTCCTCAGAATATCTAGTTCTCTGGGTCAGATTATTTTTAATTCCTGAAATCCAAATATATTTCCTGCTAAACAAATACTTTAAGCATACTATTTCCCACCAACTCTTTGGAATAATGATAATTCTTAGGTGAAAGCAGAGTTCCTTGCCTGTTTCTACCCAGCACTAAGGCAAGTTTCACACCATTTAAGCCACAGTGGGGTCCCTGTAGAGCTGTGTGCCTGCCTTTCTGTGTGCTTTTTCCCTCCTCGTGGAATAATTTTTCTTCATCTATTGCAGAAACTCTTACTCATCTTTCAAGATATAGCTCATGAAACACCTTTCAAGGTGGTCAGCAATTGACTCCTGGAAGCATGTTCCTGAAAGATTGTCTGAGAACCTCAGGGAAGGCCACGTACCTTACATAAAAGGTGACCAGCCACAAGGTTATGAAAAACCAACAGAACCAGGGCCTATAAAAAAAATGCAGAATGCATAGCATTGACCCTGAGCTCAGTGCACATCTAGGTGGCATCAACCCTAATAAGACTCTAACCAAAGCCATAAAAAAGAGTGTCCTTTTACCTCCTTCATGATACTCCTGCTCATTGAGGAAATCCAGCCCCCTGGTCTGCCTATTTTCCAGGGACTTGCTATTGCTTTAGAAATCCAGTACCTCACTGCAGGGCTCTTGGAGCCTGTTGATAGCCAGCCTAGCCAGTCACCTGGCAGTAACTTACATGCTATTTTTAGTTTCCATTTCTGTAGACCAACTGTCCCTCCATTCACCATGTTTATCCAGCACAGCAGCACTAGCCTCAGTCATCTCAGGAAAGCATGGCCATCCTAAATTAACAGAACTATTTTGGGTTTTTCAAGTACTGAAACTAAATCCTCCTGGCCTCAGCTCTAGACTATGAGGCATGAGGAAAGTCCTGCTGCTGTATAATATTTACTGAAAGCTCGAAAATCTCAATATACATGAGAATAAAATTATGGCATGATCTTCAGCCTCTGGGGGTCTGGGCTGAAGTCTTCATTTAAAGCCACGGTGCTGACTTCCCACAGAAGCAGAGCAACAGTTAAAGAACATCACACCATCAGTGATTGGCTAGTGGGATTGCACTTAGGAAGCAAAGTTTTTCAGCAAAATGGAGAGGCACTCCCTGTTCTCTGCACTAGGTCCCTGATGAACAGATTCAGTTCCCATTTAATGCAATTATTACACCCCATGTAAATCACCATCCACTTGTTTGCTTCTTTTATAAACATTTGCTGAGTGTAGCCTGTGCAGTTGAGGTGACTGTTTTCTTGGACAAACAGAGGTAATGGAGAGAGGTGGGGAGGTACCAGGTAGACCCCTTCAGGGTCTACAAACATGAAAACTAAAAATAGCCTGTAGGCTACTGCCAAGTGACAGAATGGCTGAGTAGGAACAGGCTTCAAGAGCACTGTAGTAAGGCACTGGATTTCCTAAGGAACAGCCAGTCACTGGAGAACAATCAGACCCCTTGGGGCTTGGATTCCCTTAAAGACCGCAGAGGATAGGGACTCCTTTTGATGGTTTTTGTTAAAAGTCTCAGGGTTGATGCTGATGTGAACAGTGAGCTCAGGATTTGTGCCATGCATTCTGTACTTTTTATAGACCCTAGTTCTGTTGGTTTTCCATACCCTTGAGGCTGGTCAACTTCTATGTTAGGTATGTGGCTTTTCATAAGGCTCTCAAACAATTCTTCAGGCATATGTTTTCAGGAACCAATTGTCAACCACTCTGAAAATTTTCACCTGTAAGTGTAGATACTGTTGCTAAATTTCTCCAGCTTAGACCCAAGACAGAGGATATGCATTTTCAAAGCTTCCTACTTGTGCCCCGCCACAAGTCTAAAGGACACAACATAAATGCAGGGGACTGTTGATTTTGGTAGTGATGGTCTCTCTTTTCTAATCATTGTGGTTGCGGAAACTGGCTAAATTCCAAAATTTTGTAGCTCTCCTCTGTGATCAGAAAAATCACCCATACTTAGCATATGGGTTACCTGTTCTCATCCTTGCTAGCCCTGACTCACAGTTCAGGCTCTACTTCTGGGGAAGCAGAGTGGGTGTGATGAGCTGAAGACTTTGTAGTTCCTGGAATTCAGTTTGAAGATTTGGTCTGATCAGTCTTTCTGGCCCAATTTGAGAAAAAGAAAGAATCATGACACCATTATCTCAAACATTTTATGTTGTCCAGTCATCTTTGTAACATTCATTCAACAAAGTATATAGAACACATGCTCTGTGGAAGGCAGTGAGAACTATCTCGATTCGTTTTCCTCTGTCCTGTTCTCTATGAAAAACTGGGGCTTCATTTTCTTCCTATTGAACACCCTGTGGTTGCTTCCACCCATTCTCCCTTTCAGAGATTTCTTTTATTTGTTTTTGCCTAATGAAGCTCTGTCACTTTTAACAGGAAATCACTGTCATTCTTTTGAGTCTTCCAAAAAGTTGTCACCCCCATATCAAGAATCAAATGAAAGCAAAGGCTCATCTTTTATATTTGCATTTAACATAGCAGTATGAGAGAGCTCTGGTTGCAACTGATTAGGAGGCTGCTCATCAGACTTTCACAGCTACTTATCCTTATAGAGAGAGGTAAAGGAGGGAGGTTCCCTAAATGCTTTCTTATTTCTTCTTTTCCTTCTCTTTTTTTTTCCTTCAACTTTAAGTTCTGGAGTACATGTGCAGGTTCGTTACATAGGTAAATGTGTGCCATGGTGGTTTGCTGTATAGATCAACCCATCACCTAGTCATTAAGCCCAGCATCCATTAGCTATTCTTCCTGATGCTCTTCCTCTCCCAGCCCTGCATGACAGGCCCCAGTGTGTGTTGTTCCCCACCATGTGTCCATGTGTTATCGTTCAGCTCCCACTTATAAGTGAGAACATGCAGTGTTTGGTTTTCTGTTCCTGCGTTCGTTTGCTGAGGATAACGGCTTCCAGCTCCATCCATGTCCCTGCCAAGGACATAATCTCATTCCTTTTTATGGTTGCATAGTATTCCATGGTATGTATGTGCACAATTTTCTTTATCCAGTCTACCATTGATGGGCATTTGGGTTGATTCCATGTCTTTGGTATTCTGAATAGTGCTGCAATGAATATATGCATGCATGTATCTTTATAATAGAATGATTTATATTCCTTTGGGTATGTACCCAGTAATGGGATTGCTGGATCAGATGGTATTTCTGCTTCTAGATCTTTGAGGAGTCACCACACTGTCTTCTATAATGGTTGAACTAATTTACACTCCCATCAACAGTGTAAAAGCATTCCTTTTTCTCCACAACCTGGCCAGCATCTGTTGTTTCTTGACTTTTTAATAATCGTGATTCTGACTGACGTGAGATGTTATCTCCTTGTAGTTTTTATTTGTGTTTCTCTAGTGATGAGTGATGTTGAGCTTTTTTTCATGTTTCTTGGCCATATGAATGTCTTCTCCTTCTCCTGCTGCAGAACAGCTCCCCCTGCCTCCCACTTTACCCTTACAAATAAGCAAGTTCTCTGCAGAGAAATGTGTGTGTTTTGTATACACACACACACACATACACACTGCCTGCATATATCTTACTACCTTACAGATACATCTAGAGAGGTTTTTTTGTTTGTTTTGTTTTTGGCTGCAATAGTACCAAGGAAAGATTCAGGCTATAATCTGCCTTCATTTTCTTTAGTTTATATAGCCAGATGACCCTAATCTACCTTCTTATCCCACTTTTTGAGGTTCTTTTTGAGTCCTCACCACAAATTATCTGACTTTTCATCCTTGTTAGGAAGGCAGAAATTCCCAGTTTTCAACCAAAAAAGTAATCATTAGGCATAATTTGTGGCACCTTTGTCATTTCATTTCTTTACAATTTCTTTTTCTTAGAACTTCCTCCAGCACAATGGAGGCCAGTCTTTCTCATCAGGTATTTGTTTTTGTTGTTTTTTTAAATTAATAAGCTTTATTTTTTAGAGCAGTTTTAGGTTCACAGTAAAATTAAGTGGAAAGTACAAAAAGCTTGCATATGCCCCCACCCCAGCAAAACCTTCCCCACTATCAACATCCTGCACTACAGTCCTAAACTTGTTTCCACTGATGAACCTACATTGACACATCATTATCACCCAAAGTCCATCATTTACATTAGAGTTCACTCTTGGGGAAGTGTGCATTCTATGGATTTTGATAAGTATATAATGGATAGTAATACTGCATAAATGTATAAATATATATATTTTGATAAGTGTGAATCGACCCTTGTTAGTATCATGTAGAATAGTTTCACTGCCCAGAAAAAAAAATTCTCTGTGCTCTACCTATTCATTCATCCCTCCCCGTAACCTTTGGCAACTACTTACCCTTTTACTGTCTCCATAGTTTTACCCTTTTCCAGAATGTCATATAATTGGTATTATACAGTATGTAGCCTTTTCAGATTGATTTCGTTCACTTAGCAGTATGTATTTAAGGTTCTTCCATGTCTTTTTTTTTGAGACAGGGTCTCATCCACCCAGGCTAAAGTGCAGTGGTACAATCATGTCTCACTGCAGGCTTGACCTCCTGGACTCAAGCAATCCTCTCAGCTCAGCCTCCCAAGTAACTGGGACCACAGGTGCACACCACTATTCACAATGGCAAAGACATGGAATCAACCCAAAGACCACCTTCCGTGTCTTTTCATGGCTTCATACCTCGTTTCTTTTTAATGCTGAGCAATATTGCATTGTATGGACATACTAAAGTTTATTCATCTATAGAAAGACATCTTGGTTGCTTCCAAGTTTTGGAAATCATGAGTAAAGCTGTTATAAACATCCATGTGGTTTTTGTGTGGCTATAAGTTTTCAATTCATTTGGATAAATACAAAGAAGCTCACTTGCTGGATCATATGGCAAGAATATATTTAGGTTTATAAGAAATTACCAGCCTGTTTTCCAAAGTGTTTGTGCTATTTTCCTACCAGCAATGAACGAGAGTGCCTGTTGCTTCCACATCCTTGCCAGCATTTGCTATTGTCAATGTTTTGGATTTTGGCCATTTTAATAGCTATGTAATCTTGTCTTGTTGTTTTAATTTGCAGTTCCCTAAGGACATATGGTGTGGAACATCTTTTCACATGTTTACTTGCCATCTGTATACCTTCTTTGGTGAGGAGTCCAAGTCTTTTGCCCATTTTTAAATTCAGTTCTTATTTTATTATTGTCGAGTTTTAAGAGTGCTTTGTATACTTTGGATAGCAGTCCTTTACCAGATGTGTATTTTGCAAATATTTTCTTCCAGTATGTGGTGTGTCTTCTCATTCTTTTGACATTGTCTTTCAGAGAGAAGACTTTTTTCATTTTAATGACGTCCAGCTTATCAATTATTTCTTTCACAGATCATGACTTTGATGTTATACCTAAAAAGTCATCATCATACCCAAGGTCCATTAGGTTTTCTCCTATGTTATCTTTTGGGGTTTTTTAGGTTTCTGTTTTATGTTTAGGTCTATGATCCATTTTGAATTAAGTTTTGTAAAGGATGTAAGGTCTGTGTCTAGGTTCATTTTTGCATATTGATGTTCAGTTGTTCCAGCACCATTTTCTCCTTTGTCAAAGATCAGTTATATTTCTGTGGATCTGTTTCTGGGCTCTCTATTCTGTTCCATTGATTTATGTGTTCTTCACCACTACCACACCGTCTTGATTACTGTGGCTTTATAATAAGTCTTGAAGTTGAGTAGTATCAGTCCTCCAACCTTGGTCTTCTCCTTCCATGTTGAGATAGTCTTTTACCTCTCCATCTAAACTTTAGAAGCAATTTGTCATTATCCATAAAATAGCTGCTGGAATTTTTATTGGGATTGCATCAAAGCTGTAGATCAAGTTGTGAAGAACTGAGATCTTGACAATATTGTCTTCCTATTCATGAATGTTGAATATCTTTCCATTTATTTAGTTCTTCCTTGATATCTTTCATCAGGGTTTTGCATATGTATATATTTATTTGTTTTCCTCATAAAGATCTGGTACATAGTTTGTTAGGTTTATACCTATGTATTTCTTTTTTCCTTTTGAGTGCCAATGTAAACAGCAATTTATTTTTATTTTTATTATTTTTTTATTTTTTATTTTTTTATTATTATACTTTAAGTTTTAGGGTACATGTGCACATTGTGCAGGTTAGTTACATATGTATACATGTGCCATGCTGGTGCGCTGCACCCACTAACTCTTCATCTAGCATTAGGTATATCTCCCAATGCTATCCCTCCCCCCTCCCCCCACCCCACAACAGTCCCCAGAGTGTGATATTCCCCTTCCTGTGTCCATGTGATCTCATTGTTCAGTTCCCACCTATGAGTGAGAATATGCGGTGTCTGGTTTTTTGTTCTTGCGATAGTTTACTGAGAATGATGATTCCCAATTTCACCCATGTCCCTACAAAGGACATGAACTCATCATTTTTTATGGCTGCATAGTATTCCATGGTGTATATGTGCCACATTTTCTTAATCCAGTCTATCATTGTTGGACATTTGGGTTGGTTCCAAGTCTTTGCTATCGTGAATAATGCCGCAATAAACATACGTGTGCATGTGTCTTTATAGCAGCATGATGTATAATCCTTTGGGTATATACCCAGTAATGGGATGGCTGGCTCAAATGGTATTTCCAGTTCTAGATCCCTGAGGAATCGCCACACTGACTTCCACAATGGTTGAACTAGTTTACAGTCCCACCAACAGTGTAAAAGTGTTCCTATTTCTCCACATCCTCTCCAGCACCTGTTGTTTCCTGACTTTTTAATGATTGCCATTCTAACTGGTGTGAGATGGTATCTCATTGTGGTTTTGATTTGCATTTCTCTGATGGCCAGTGATGAGCATTTTTTCATGTGTTTTTTGGCTGCATAAATGTCTTCTTTTGAGAAGTGTCTGTTCATGTCCTTTGCCCACTTTTTGATGGGGTTGTTTGTTTTTTTCTTGTAAATTTGTTTGAGTTCATTGTAGATTCTGGATATTAGCCCTTTGTCAGATGAGTAGGTTGTGAAAATTTTCTCCCATTCTGTAGGTTGCCTGTTCACTCTGATGGTAGTTTCTTTTGCTGTGCAGAAGCTCTTTAGTTTAATTAGATCCCATTTGTCAATTTTGGCTTTTGTTGCCTTTGCTTTTGGTGTTTTAGACATGAAGTCCTTGCCCATGCCTATGTCCTGAATGGTATTGCCTAGGTTTTCTTCTAGGGTTTTTATGGTTTTAGGTCTAACATGTAAGTCTTTAATCCATCTTGAATTAATTTTTGTATAAGGTGTAAGGAAGAGATCCAGTTTCAGCTTTCTACATATGGCTAGCCAGTTTTCCCAGCACCATCTATTAAATAGGGAATCCTTTCCCCATTTCTTGTTTTTGTCAGGTTTGTCAAAGATCAGATGGTTGTAGATATGCGGCATTATTTCTGAGGGCTCTGTTCTGTTCCATTGATCTATATCTCTGTTTTGGTAACAGTACCATGCTGTTTTGGTTACTGTAGCCTTGTAGTATAGTTTGAAGTCAGGTAGCGTGATGCCTCCAGCTTTGTTCTTTTGGCTTAGGATTGACTTGGTGGTGTGGGCTCTTTTTTGGTTCCATATGAACTTTAAAGTAGTTTTTTCCAATTCTGTGAAGAAAGTCATTGGTAGCTTGATGGGGATGGCATTGAATCTATAAATTACCTTGGGCAGTATGGCCATTTTCATGATATTGATTCTTCCTACCCATGAGCATGGAATGTTCTTCCATTTGTTTGTATCCTCTTTTATTTCATTGAGCAGTGGTTTGTAGTTCTCCTTGAAGAGGTCCTTCACATCTGGTTGGATTCCTAGGTATTTTATTCTCTTTGAAGCAATTGTGAATGGAAGTTCACTCATGATTTGGCTGTTTGTCTGTTACTGGTGTATAAGAATGCTTGTGATTTTTGCACATTGATTTTGTATCCTGAGACTTTGCTGAAGTTGCTTATCAGCTTAAGGAGATTTTGGGCTGAGACAATGGGGTTTTCTAGATATACAATCATGTCATCTGCAAACAGGGACAATTGGACTTCCTCTTTTCCTAATTGAATACCCTTTATTTCCTTCTCCTGCCTAATTGCCCTGGCCAGCACTTCCAACATTATGTTGAATAGGAATGGTGAGAGAGGGCATCCCTGTCTTGTGCCGGTTTTCAAAGGGAATCCTTCCAGTTTTTGCCCATTCAGTATGCAGAAAAGGCCTTTGACAAAATTCAACAACCTTTCATGCTAAAAACTCTCAATAAATTAGGTATTAATGGGACGTATCTCAAAATAACAAGGGATATGCTTTTTCAATCCACTCGTTTCTCACCTCTTTCTGGAGTTTCTTATATGTACCCCACTGCCTGCCCAGGATCTAACCAATTCACCATTTGAGATTTGTTGCTCCAGACATTTTGTTCCTGTTGGATTGACTCTGTTTTTTTCTCTTTGTTATAGCATGAGTATATCACAAGTTATTTAGTAATTCCCCTAATAGGGGGAATTACTAAATAAGTTGTTTCTGCCTCTTAATCACCATAAACAATGCTCCAACAAACATTCATTTAGATATGCCTGCAGGTCAGAAAGGATCAGCCTCTCACATAGCACAGGGTTTTATCCAGTCAAAGGTAAGTTAGTAGTGTCCGTTTTCACTAGACCTTTCAATCACACAGACTCTTCTTAAATTTTTATTATTATTTTTTAAAATTTTTGTGGGTACATAGTAAGTGTATATATTTAAGGGGTACTTGAGATGTTTTCATACAGGCATGCAATATGAAATAGGCACGTCATGGAGAATGGGGCATCTGTCCCCTCAAGCATTTATCCTTTGGGTTACAAACAATCTAATCTAATTATTAACACATTTTTCAAGTTATTTTAAAATATACAATTATTACTGATTATAGTCACCTTATTGTGCTATCAAATAGTAGGTCTTATTAATTAATTCTATCTTTTTGAACCCATGAACCATTTTCACCTTCCTCTCAAACCCCACATCCTTCCCAGCCTCTGGTAACCATCCTACTCTATATCTGTGAGTTCAATTTATTTGATTTTTAGATTCCACAAAAAAGTGAGAATATACTATCACACACTCTTAAGCTTGAGAATTCTGTTCTTGCATCACTGCAGTCAAGGACAAAGCTTACCTATACTCCACAATATTCTTCTTGTCTTTTAGAGGTAACCAACTTTAAACAAAATGACAAAAGTGTATTTCTTTAATAAAAAATGTAAAATGATCCTAAGGCTGTATTTTTCAAACTGCAGGTCCAGGCCTATTATTGTCACAAAATCATTTTAGAGAGTCACCTTTAGAGATTTTTTTTATTGAAATATGATAGAAAATATTAGAGAGCATCACATATAATAAAAGTAGGATTGTTTCACAAAACTTTGAATTCAGTTACAGATCTATAAACATTTATAAAAATATACGGCAGGATCATTTCATAAATTATATTTCTTACTATGGGTCACAGTCACTACATAGTCACAGTGAAAAAAATGGAAAAACATACCGTGAAAGATTTCTGAGGAAAGCACTGGAGCCTTGACAATTTAATTGGTCATGTGGAATGTATGCAGTGAAGGATTGTGTTCAGTTTTACATTCTTCCACCAGGTGTGTCGGTTCCTCTCAGGTGGGGACATGCTTCCTCACCTAATCATAGAGCACATCTGGTGCTCATGAGGCATGTGGGCAGTGTCTGGGGCCTATCGACCCAGCCTCTCATTTCAAGAACCTCCTAGGTCAATAGCCTAAGCAAAAGCTCGTCTCTCTCTCTTACACACACACACACACACACACACACACACACACACACACACACTCTCTCTCTCTCTCTCTCTCTCTCTCTCTCTCTCTCACTCCTTCCAAGTCCCTAGCTGGATATTCCAGTTAGGTCCATGGACTTTTAAAAAGAATTTGAAAGAAAGCATGAGCATTCCAGATGTTTATGACAGAAAGGGATCTCTGTGACTCTCGGATCCAATACACTTACCATATGACCTAGCAATTAAAGCTCCTTTGTATTTACCCCAAAAATTGAAAACCTATATCCACACAAAAACCTGCACATGGATGTTTATCGCAGCTTTATTCATGATTGCCAAAACTTGGAAGCAACCGAGATGTCCTTCAGTAGATGAACAGATAAACTGTGGTATATCCATGCAATGGAATATGACTCAGCATTAAAAAGAAATGAGGTGTCACACCATGAAAAGACATGGAAGAACCTTAAGTACATATTACTAAGTGAAGAAGTCAATCTGAAAAGGCTACATACTGTATGGTTCCAACTATATGACATTCTGGAGAGGGCAAAACTATGGAGACAGTAAAAAGATCCATAGTCAACAACAAAAATCTCAAAAGGCCCAATTCAAAAATGGGCAATGTGTTCAAATAGACAGACAGTCTCCAAAGAAGATACACAGATGGCAATAAGCACATGAAAAGATGCTCAACATCATTACTCATTAGAGAAATGCAAATCAACACCACAATTATACACCATACCACTTAGAATGACTATTATTAAAAAAAAGAAAGAAAGAAAGAAAGTGTTCTGTAGGATGAAAAGAAATTGAAACCCTGGTGCATTGCTGGTGGGAATGTAAAATGGTACAGCCATTTGAAGAAACCAGTTTGGCAATTCCTCTATTAATTACCATAATGATTCAGCAATTTTACTCCTGGGTATATACCCAAAGGAAAACAAAGCAGGGACTCAGATACTTCCACACCGATGTTCATAGTAGCATTATTCACAATAGTCAAAAGGTGGAAACAAAGATGAAATGGATAAACAAAATGTGGTATATACATACAATGGAATATTATTTGCCATAAAAAGGAACAAAATTCTGACATGTGGCCAGGCATGGTGGCTCACATCTGTAATCCCAGCACTTTGGGAGGCCAAGGTGGGCAGATCACCTGAGGTCAGGCGTTCGTGACCAGCCTGGCAACATGACGAAACCCTGTCTCTACTGAAAATACAAAAATTGGCTGGGTGTGGTGGCACACGCCTATAATCCCAGCTACTCGGGAGGCTGAGGCAGGAGAATCTCTTGAACCCAGGAGGCAGCGGTTGCAGTGAGCCAAGATCACACCACTGCACTCCAGCCTGAGCAACAGAGCCAGACTCTGTCTCAAAAAAAAAAAAAAAAGAAAAAGAAATTCTGACACGTTCAACATGGATAAACCTTGAAAACATTACACTAAGTGAAATAAGCCAGACACAAAAGGACAAATATTGTATGATTTCACTTATATGAGATACTTAGAATAGGCAAATTCTCAGAGACAGAAAGTGGAATTGAGGTTACCAGGGTCTCAGGGTTTTGGGGAGGGATGAGGGAGTTATTGTTTAGTAGGTACAGAGTTTCTGTTTGGTATGATGAAAAAGCGTTTGAAATAGATAGTGGTGGTGGTCACACAACATTGTGAATGTATTTAATGCCAACAAATTCTACACTTAAAAATGGCTAAAATGGTATGCTTTGTGTTATATATATTTTTACCATAATTTTTTTTAATGCTCAGTGATTACCAGGGATTTGGGGGAAGGGAGAGAGGGACTGAATAGGTAGAACACAGGGGATTTTTTTTTATATACTTTAAGTTCTGGGGTACATGTGCAGAATGTGCAGTTTTGTTACATAGGTATACAGGTGCTACAGTGGTTTGCTGCACCCATCAACCCATCACCTACATTAGGTATTTCTCTTAATGCTATCCCTCCCCTATCTCCCCCTCCCTGACAGACCGTGATGTGTGCTGTTCCCCTCCCTGGAGCACAGGGGGTTTTTAGGCCAGTGAAATTATTCAGTATGATACTGTAATGGTTGATACATGTCATTATACATTGGTCAGAACCCACAGCATGTATAACACAAAAAGTGAACCCCAATGTAAATGACAGGCTTTAGTTAATAATAATGTATCAATATTGGCTCCTCAATTGTAACAAATGTATTACAGTAATGCAATATGTTAATAATAAGGGAAAGTGTGTATGTGGGCCAGTGGCAGGAGGGGAATATATAGGAACTCTCCATACTCCACTCAATTTTTCTGCAGACCTAAAACTGCTCTAAAGAATAAATTTTTTAAGGTTCTGGTTCCAAGATGGCCAAATAGGAACACCTCCAGTCTACAGCTCCCAGCGTGAGTGACACAGAAGACAGGTGATTTCTGCATTTCCAACTGAGGTACCGGGTTCATCTCACTAGGGCTTGTCGGACAGTGGGTGCAGCCCATGGAGTGTGAGTTGAAGCAGGGCGGGGCATTGCCTCACCTGGGAAGCGCAAGGGGTGGGGGAATTCCCTTTCCTAGCCAAGGGAAGCCGTGACAGACAGTAGCTGGAAAATCGGGACACTCTCACCCTAATACTGTGCTTTTCCAATGGTCTTCGCAAACGGCACACCAGAAGACTATATCCCACACCTGGCTCAGAGGGTCCCACGCCCATGGAGCCTCACTCACTGCTAGAACAGCAGTCTGAGATTGAACTGCAAGGCAGCAGCAAGGCTGGGGGAGGGGCGTCCGCCATTGCTGAGGCTTGAGTAGGTAAACAAAGCGGCTAGAAAGCTCGAAATGGGTGGAGCCCACCACAGCTCAAGGAGGCCTGCCTGCCTCTGTAGACTTCACGTCTGGGGGCAGGGCATAGCAGAATAAAAGGAGCAGAAACTTCTGCAGACTTAAACATCCCTGTCTGACAGCTTTGAAGAGAGTAGTCGTTCTTCCAGCACAGAGCTTGAGATCTGAAAACAGACAGACTGCCTCCTCAAGTGGGTCCCCCCAGTAGCCTAACTGGGAGACACCTCCCAGTAGGGGCCGACTGACACCTCATACAGCCAGGTGCCCTTTGAGATGAAGCTTCCAGAGGAAGGATCAGGTGGCAACAGTTGCCATTCTGCAATATTTGCTGTTCTGCAGCCTCCGCTGGTGATACCCAGGCAAACAGGGTCTGGAGTGGACCTCCAGCAAACTCCAACAGACCTGCAGCTGAGAGTCCTGACTGTTAGAAGGAAAACTAACAAACAGAAAGAACATCCACACCAAAACCCCATCTGTAGGTCACCATCATCAAAGACCAAAAGAAGATAAAACCACAAAGATGGGGAGAAACCAGAGCAGAAAAGCTGAAATTCTAAAAATCAGAGCACCCCTTCTCCTCCAAAGGAATGCAGCTCCTCACCAGCAACAGAACAAAGCTGGACAGAGAATGACTTTGATGAGTTGAGAGAAGAAGGCTTCAGATGATAGGTAATAACAAACTTCTCCAAGCTAAAGGAAGATATTCGAACCCATCACAAAGAAGCTAAAAACCTTGAAAAAAGATTAGACGAATGGCTAACTAAACAGTATAGACCTTAAATGACCTGATGGAGCTGAAAACCATGGCACAGGAACTACGTGACGTGTGCACAAGCTTCAGTAGCTGATTCGATCAAGTGGAAGAAAAGGTATCAGTGATTGAAGATCAAATGAATGAAATGAAGCGAGAAGAGAAGTTTAGAGAAAAAAGAGTAAAAAGAAACAAAACCTCCAAGAAATATGGGACTATGTGAAAAGACCAAATCTATGTCTGACTGGTGTACCTGAAAGAGACGGGGAGAATGGAACCAAGTTGGAAAACACTCTTCAGGATATTATCCAGGAGAACTTCCCCAATCTAGCAAGGCAGGCCAACATTCACATTCAGGAAATACAGAGAACGCCACAAAGATACTCCTCGAGAAGAGCAACTCCAAGACACATAATTATCAGATTCACCAAAGTTGAAATGAAGGAAAAAATATTAAGGGTAGCCAGAGAGAAAGGTCAGGTTACCCACAAAGGGAAGCCCATCAGACTAACAGCAGATATCTCAGCAGAAACTCTACAAGCCAGAAGAGAGTGGGGGCCAATATTCAACATTCTTAAAGAAAAGAATTTTCAACCCAGAATTTCATATCCAGCCAAACTAAGCTTCATAAGTGAAGGAGAAATAAAATCCTTTACAGACAAGCAAATACTGAGAGATTTTGTCACCACCAGGCCTGCCTTACAAGAGCTCCTGAAGGAAGCACTAAACATGGAAAGGAACAACCGGTACCAGCCACTGCAAAAACGTGCCAAATTGTAAAGACCATCGATGCTAGGAAGAAACTGCATCAACTAACGAGCAAAATAACCAGCTAACATCATAATGACAGGATCAAATTTACACATAACAATATTAACCTTAAATGTAAATGTAAATGGGCTAAATGCTCCAATTAAAAGACACAGACTGGCAAATTGGATAAAGAATCAAGACCCATCAGTGTGCTGTATTCAGGAAACCCATCTCATGTGCAGAGACACACATAGGCTCAAAATAAAGGGATGAAGGAAGATCTACCAAGCAAGTGGAAAACAAAAAAAAGCAGGGGTTGCAGTCCTAGTCTCTTATAAAACAGACTTTAAACCAACAAAGATCAAAAGAGACAAAGAAGGCCATTACATAATGGTAAAGAGATCAGTTCAACAAGAAGAGCTAACTATTGTAAATATATATACACCCAATACAGGAGCACCCAGATTCATAAAGCAAGTCCTTAGAGACCTACAAAGAGACTTAGACTCCCACACAATAATAATGGGAGGCTTTAACACCCCACTGTCAACATTAGACAGATCAACGAGACAGAACATTAACAAGGATGTCCAGGAATTGAACTCAGCTCTGCACCAAGCAGACCTAATAGATATCTACAGAACTCTCCACCCCAAATCAACAGAATGTACATTATTCTCAGCACCACATTGCACTTATTCCAAAGTTGACCACATAGTTGGAAGTAAAGCACACTCCTCAGCAAATGTAAAAAAACAGAAATTATAACAAATTGTCTCTCAGACCACAGTGCAATCAAAGTAGAACTTAGGATTAAGAAACTCGCTCAAAACCACTCAGCTACATGGAAACTGAACAACCTGCTCCTGAATGACTACTGGGTACATAATGAAATGAAGGCAGAAATAAAGATGTTCTTTGAAACCAATGAGAACAAAGACCCAACATACCAGAATCTCTGGGACACATTTAAAGCAATGTTTAGAAGGAAATTTATAGCACTAAATGCCCACAAGAGAAAGCAAGAAAGATCTAAAACTGACACCCTAACATCACAATTAAAAGAACTAGAGAAGCAAGAGCAAACACATTCAAAAGCTAGCAGAAGGCAAGAAATAACTAAGATCAGAGCAGAACTGAAGGAGATAGAGACACAAAAAACCCTTCAAAAAAATCAATGAATCCAGGAGCTGGTTTTTTGAAAAGATCAACAAAATTGATATACTGCTAGCAAGACTAATAAAGAAGAAAAGAGAGAAGAATCAAATAGACGCAATAAAAAATGATAAAGGGGATATCACCACCGATCCCACAGAAATACAAACTATCATCAGAGAATACTATAAACACCTCTACACAAATAAACTAGAAAATCTAGAAGAAATGGATAAATTTCTGGACACATACACCCTCCCAAGACTAAACCAGGAAGAAGTTGAATCTCTGAATAGACCAATAACAGGCTCTGAAATTGAGGCAATAATTAATAGCCTACCAACCAAAAAAAAGTCCAGGACCAGATGGATTCACAGCCAAATTCTACCAGAGGTACAAAGAGGAGCTGGTACCATTCCTTCTGAAACTATTCCAATCAATAGAAAAAGAGGGAATCCTCCCTAATTCATTTGATGAGGCCAGCATCATCCTGATACCAAAGCCTGACAGCGACACAACAAAAACAGAGAATTTTAGACCAATATCCCTGATGAATATTGATGCAAAAATCCTCAATAAAATACTGGCAAACCAAATCCAGCAGCACATCAAAAAGCTTATCCACCACAATCAAGTTGGTTTCATCCCTGGGATGCAAGGCTGTTGCAACATATGCAAATCAATAAACGTAATCCATCATATAAACAGAACCAAAGACAAAAACCACATGATTATCTCAATAGATGCAGAAAAGGCCTTTGACAAAATCTAACAGCCATTCATGCTAAAAACTCTCAATAAATTAGGTATTGATGGGACGTATCTCAAAATAATAAGAGCTATTTATGACAAACCCACAGCCAATATCGTACTGAATGGGCAAAAACTGGAAGCATTCCCTTTGAAAACTGGCACAAGACAAGGATGCCCTCTCTCACCACTCCTATTCAACATAGTGTTGGAAGTTCTGGCCAGGGCAATCAGGCAGGAGAAAGAAATAAAGGGTTTTCAATTAGGAAAAGAGGAAGTCCAGTTGTCCCTGTTTGCAGATGACATGATTGTATATTTAGAAAACCTCATCATCTCAGCCCAAAATCTCCTTAAGCTGATAAGCAACTTCAGCAAAGTCTCAGAATACAAAATCAATACGCAAAAATCACAAGTATTCCTGTACACCAGTAACAGACAAACAGAGAGCCAAATCATGAGTGAACTCCTGTTCACAATTGCTTCAAACAGAATAAAATACCTAGGAATCTAACTTATAAGAGATGTGAAGGACCTCTTCAAGGAGAACTACAAACTACTGCTCAACGAAATAAAAGAGGACACAAACAAATGGAAGAACATTCCATGCTCATGGATAGGAAGAATCAGTATCATGAAAATGGCCATACTGCCCAAGGTAATTTATAGATTCAATGCCATCCCCATCAAGCTACCAATGACTTTCTTCACAGAACTGGAAAAAACTACTTTAAAGTTCGTGTGGAAGCAAAGAAGGGCCCACATTGCCAAGACAATCCTAAGCCAAAAGAACAAAGCTGGAGGCATCACGCTACCTGACTTCAAACTATACTACAAGGCTACAGTAACCAAAACAGCATGATACTGGTACCAAAACAGAGATATAGATCAATGGAACAGAACAGAGCCCTCAGAAATAATGCCGCATATCTACAACTATCTGATCTTTGACAAACCTGAGAAAAACAAGCAATGGGGAAAGGATTCCCTATTTAATAGATGGTGCTGGGAAAACTGGCTAGCCATATGTAGAAAGCTGAAACTGGATCCCTTCCTTACACCTTATACAAAAATTAATTCAAGATGGATTAAAGACTTACATGTTAGACCTAAAACCATAAAAACCCTAGAAGAAAACCGAGGCAATACCATTCAGGACATAGGCATGGGCAAGGACTTCATGACTAAAACACCAAAAGCAATAGCAACAAAAGCCAAAATTGACAAATGGGATCTAATTAAACTAAAGAGCTTCTGCACAGCAAAAGAAACTACCATCAGAGTGAACAGGCAACCTACAAAATGGGAGAAAATTTTTACAGTCTACCCATCTGACAAAGGGCTAATATCCAGAATCTACAATGAACTCAAACAAATTTACAAGAAAAAATCAAACAATCCCATCAAAAAGTGGGTGAAGGATATGAACAGACACTTCTCAAAAGAAGACATTTATGCAGCCAACAGACACATGAAAAAATGCTCATCATCACTGGCCATCAGAGAAATGCAAATCAATACCACAATGAGATACCATCTCACACCAGTTACAATGGTGATCATTAAAAAGTCAGGAAACAACAGGTGCTGGAGAGGATGTGGAGAAATAGGAACACTTTTACACTGTTGGTGGGACTGTAAACTAGTTCAACCATTGTGGAAGACAGTGTGGCGATTCCTCAAGGATCTAGAACTAGAAATACCATTTGAGCCAGCCATCCCATTACTGGGTATATACCCAAAGGATTATAAATCATGCTGCTATAAAGACACATGCACACGTATGTTTATTGCAGCACTATTCACAATAGCAAAGACTTGGAACCAGCCCAAATGTCCATCAGTGATAGACTGGATTAAGAAAATGTGGCACATATACACCATGGAATACTATGCAGTCATAAAAAAGGGTGAGTTCATGTTCTTTGTTTGGACATGGATGAAGCTGGAAACCATCCTTCCGAGAAAACTATCACGAGGACAGAAAACCAAGCACCGCATGTTCTCACTCATAGATGGGAATTGAACAATGAAAACACTTGGATACAGGGTGGGGAACATCACACACCAGGGTCTGTCATGGAGTTGGGGGAGTGGGGAGGGATAGCATTAGGAGATATACCTAATATACCTAATGTAAATGACGAGTTAATGGGTGCAGCACACCAACAGGGCACATATATACATATGTAACAAACCTGCACATTGTGCACATGTACCCTAGAACTTAAAGCATTTAAAAAAAGAATAATTTTTTAAAAATAAGACCACAGTATGAGTATTTTTATAACAGCTTTTTGGACTACTGTGTTCATACATTATTAACGTCTTTCCAGGGATTCAGCCTGGACAGGCAAGGACAAATATAGGGTGATGATAGGAAGGTTAACTAAAGGATAATGAGGCTGCTGGAAGAGGATGAGACTCAGAGCATGTGGAAATTTAGGGGCAGAGGATGTTTTCTAGTCCTTCTAGACTTTTACCCCAAGCCCCACAGAGGAGAGGGACTAGAATTTGAGTGGATGAGTGGAGATAACTGAGCCCTTGTGTCTGAGGATCTCCAACAAGATGGAATTTTGAGCAGAGCAAGGAGTTTCTGCTCCTGCTCAGGGACTCCCAGTCCCTGGAGGGTGGCAAGAGGGTGGCATGACAGGACTGAACAAAACAAGGTGATGCTTCCACTTTCACTTCTGCACTCAGCATATTCTATGACTTCCCTGCTAGGGGTGAGCAGGTACAAAAGTCGAGCAATCATGGTGGCCAGTTGCCTGAAATTACCATAATCAAAATCTGCTGGGGCATGTAGGAGCCTGTGGGGGACCAGGGGAAGGACCTGCTCCACCCACCCTAAACCAAGATGTGTGTACATTAACCCCGGATTCCCACTTCATGCTGCTGTGACCCTTCTGAGTCACTTTCTTTCACTCTGTGTCTTCCTCCTACATGGCTTTCTGCCCAACTCCCACTAGGCAGGCAGGATGTGCTTAACACAAAACCTCCTTTGATCTTTGGGGATGCTTTAGGCAAATACCTGTTAAGTGTTGGCTCAGTAGGCCTAGACCTTGTGACTTCATGGCCTGGAGGCCATCTAGGGACTGGGCCCCCATCCCTTAGGCACAGAACCATCATTCAGAGGACAGACACATCCATGCTTCTTCCTATCTGGGCTTTCTGCATCTTTTCAGAAGGACACATTATGCTTAACGCTGAGGTCCTGTCCGAGGAAGAAAGTCCTGCCACCTCCTCCTTCTGATGATGGGATGATGGATAATCCTGGATCTCCTTAGGAACCAGGGGCATCCCAACTGTCTCTCACAACATGTCATAAAGAAGTCATTTCACTTCTTGCCCTTTCTTCAGCTCTTGGCTCCTCTGCGGTAGGTTGGAAGCAGAATGCAAAGGTGCCACCCTCTGAGGAATATCAGGTGGCCAAAGCAGAGGTCCCTCCCATCTGCTCAAGGCAGCCTCTGTCTTCCTGCTTCCCAGTCCACTTCTCCCACCCAGATAGCCTCCCTGGTCCTTTACCTCACTAAGCACTAGGAAGCCACCCCTGCCCTGTTTCTCCATCTCCAGCCCCATGCTCTTGCTCAGGCTCCATGCATTTAGAGCTTTCTCTGTGATCTCTCCTGCTGGTACAGTGTTCCAAGAGCACCTGCTGCACAGATATCAGCAGCAGGCTTTGACCACCTTTCCCTGCCCACCTACACTCTCACACTGCCACCAACTGCTTGGGCCCTAATAGTAACTTTCAGAATCTCTCTCCACACCCAGCTCTCTGGCTTTGGTTCTCCATACCATTCCCCCTGCCCATACCCATGGTCCCTTCCTAGCTCCTCACTCGTCCCTCTGGGTCTGTGCCCACACTCCCTTATATGTGGAGGAATTCTTTCTTCTTCTAATCCATTATCTCCTCCATCATTAACTCTACTTCTCCCTACCAGCAGAAAAATGTCTGCTTTTAGTAAAATCCAGCTCCTTGACTTGGGTACTTGCCCCCCACTTCTTCACTTCCACACCACAGCGTTCTTCCAGAAATTCTCCCCTTGCTGTCTTGCTTATCCCTCTTGACTGGATCTTTTCTATCACCATCCAACCATCCAACAGACTAAATCTCCTGTCTTAAAAAAAAAAAAAAAACTCCTTCTGGATCCCACTCTCCCCTCCTTCACCTCTATGAAACAAAAGTCCTTGAAAGAGTTGATTACACTTGCTGTCACCAACTGCTCTTCTTCCATTATCTCTTGAATCCACTCCAGTCACATCGGTTCCTCCACCTGAGGCTATTCTTCTCAGGGTCATTAGTGATCTTTATATTGCTAAATCTAATGGTCAACTACAAGTCCGCATCTTAATTGACTGATTGGCAACTTGTCATTCCATTGGTCACCTTCTCCTTAAAACACTTTCCTTTCTTGGCTTCCAGTATGACACTCTTCTAGCTTTCCTCCTGTCTTGCTGGCTGCTGTGTCTCAGTCTCCTCTGCCTACTGGTTCTTCCTCTTCTTCTCAATCTTTTAACATTAAAGAGTCCCAGAGACCAGTCCTTAGATCTCTTTCATTTACACTCACTCCCTTCGTGGTCATATCTAGTCTCATGGTTTTATATCTATCTATCTATCTATCTGTCTGTCTGTCTGTCTGTCTGTCTACTCTGTCTATCTACTCTATCTATGTATCTATCTATGTATCTATGTATCTATGTATCTATCTATCTATCTATCTATCTATCTCTGGCTGTCTATCTGCCTGGAGTCTGGGCTCTTCCCTGAACTCCAGGCTCAAATGCCCAAATTGTCTAAGCAACATACGTTATCTAAGCAACATATACATCTCAAACAATACAAATGTGAACTCCTGACTCCCCTTCTCCCACCATCATCACCCAGTAACACCAAACCTACTCCAATGTCAGTATTTCCCACATCAATTAATGGCAACTTCATCCTGCCAGTTGTTCAGGGCAAAAACTTTGGTGCCATCCTTGACATTTTTTTTTCTCTAATTGTCCACATCCAATCTATCAGTAAATCCTATTGTCTCTACCTTCAAAGTGAACCCAGCATCTAAATGCCTGTAATCTCCTCTGCTGCTATAATTACCGGAGTAACCTTACAACTAATCTCCCTGCTTCTACTCAAATCTATACCCCCAATGCTCTTATTTTTAGCACTATGACCTAAGTGATCCTTTAAGACATAAGTCAGATCTAAGCAGACCCCCTAATAGCTCCCCAATTTACTCAAAGTAAGAGCCAGCTTCCTTGCTGGCTTTCTACCAGGCCTTATACCATGTGGCCCCTTACCACTGGAGTCATCCTCTACCACTTTCTCCCTTTATTCCTTTATTACTCTGCTTTAGGTTCACTGGCTTCCTTGTTCCTTCTGACAGGCTGGGCATCCTCCAACCTCCAGGCATCTGCATTAGCTGTAATTTCTGACTGGAATGCTCTTCCTCGTTTACCCACGTGGTTTACTCGCTTATCACCCTCAAGTCCTTGCTGACATTTTAATTTCCTAGTGATACCTTCCCTGAGCTCCTTATTTAAAACTGTATCCCTTTTGAAGTCTTCTCTAATCCCATTACCCTGATTTTTTTGCATATATCTGGTCACCTTCTATATACTATGTTTTTTATTTATACTTCTTTTCTCTTCCTCCCAGGCATGCTCCCAACGTAAGTTCCTTGAGAGAGCAGATTTTTTTTTCCTCTTATGTTCACTGCTGTATTCCCAGTGCCTATAAAAGTGCCTGGCATATAATAGGTGCTCAATATTTATTGAAGGAATGAAGAATGGGTGAAAGAATGCCATTCATTCTCCAGCTTGGCAACCTCATTCTGATCCCTTAAACATTTTACTGTGTTTTTTTTTTAATTATTATACAGGGGTTTCTCCAGTGAGTCACTATTCTCTGACACGGCATGCTGTTGTTTGATGCCATGCCTCTGTTCATGTTGTACTCTCAGCCTGGGAAAGCCTCTCTACTCCCTACCTCCTTCCCAACTAATGCCTGCTCATCCTTTAGAACTCAACTTACATATCATCTCTTCTAGGAAACTTTCCGTGAACATTCCCCAAAACTAGATTAAGTGCCCTCCTATGTACTTTCATCTTATTGCTTCTAATGACTTTTTATATGACTGTCTATCCCAGAGTTCATGAGCTTTTTCAGACAAGGCCTGTGTATCGTTCACTGTTATCTCTGTAGTGCCTGGCATAGTGCCTGCCACATAGCAAGTACTTGAATATTTGAATTGTTGAATGCAAGACTCAGCCCAAAGTTGTTTTTATTGTGACCCTTTTAGGGATCTCTTCATCAACTAGTCTTCATTCTAGGCAGCATTCTTTCCATGCAAATGAAAGGCAATGGAGGTTGGAACAGGCAACAGGACTAGAGTGGGCTCTCAGTTGGGTTACCCTTAAAGATCTCAGTAACAACAGAGAAAAGACAGGGAGATTCTATCATCTGGTTTTGACATCTGTCATATTAGCTGTGTGCTTTTGATAAACATTCCTAAAGGAAGGAGCACCATGGCACTCTAAAGGACCTTCCCTCCAGGTTGTCAGCATATACTGTATAGAAGTCATCAATGAATTTTGCCTGTGGGCCAAAAATGCATTAGATTCCTGGCCACTGCTTCTTATACTGTCGCCATGTCCACATTCCTCCTCTGAGCCCAACACACCATGGGACAATAGAATTCAAGCCTGACCTTTTCTTTCAATGCACCTAAAACAAGGGCCTTTCTTCTCTGTCAAGTCCCTTTATCCACATTCTAGGGTGGGGCTGGGAGGAGTCATGTGGAATGCTGACCCATCTGAAATAAAATGTGATTTAAGCTTCTATACCACATAAGAAGTACTTTTTAGGTCCTTTACTCTCTCTGTCTATCATATACCACATTGAAAATGAGGAGGCACAAACAGGTGGCTCTTTGCTTAAAGGTACAAAGTATATTTGGAGAATGCCCTGCTTCACCTGCATGTTAATGGAAATGGCAATGAAAGCCTTTTTCAGGGGATTGCAGAGGTTCAGGAACCTATGAACTCCTTTTTCTTGTGATGGGTATTCTTGCATAAAACAGTGCCTTCTGCTGAGGTGAGTTAGACCTGGGATAGATTTCCTGGTTGAGTGGCACAAGTCATTTGAGGACAGAGTTTGGAGCATTTGTAGGAGTGGCACAGGACCCAGGATTGGCTGGACTGAAGGGAGTGTTGCTAGAGCAGATTATTTAGGCACTGGGGGCATCACAGAAGATCAGGCCTTCCTCCTCAGTAGAAGGAGGCTGAGCCTCAGGGTCCTCTGTTGTCTTCTGTGTTGTAGCTCCCCACACATGATCTTTGGTGACAGTTGGACTCTTCTCAATGTTTTTTGTCCTGTCTTGGGTCACTGTCTCAGCCTTAGAAAGGAGAATGGATTCCTCATGCCTTCGATCTTTCATTTCAGGGTTAATCCAGTGCAGAAACAGCTTCATCTTGTTATCCAAGCCAACTTCTGGAGCTTCTGGAAGGATGATGCTCTTGTGAGTATGGACTGCCCTTACCAGACCCTGCAACTCTTAGCCCTAGAAAGTGTGGCCCTGCAAATTTTGACCCTGCAAATTTTGCCCTGTAAAACATGGCCCTGAACTATTTGACCCTGAAAACTTTGGATCTGAAAAAAATTTACCCCTTCAAATACTGTACTTGCAAAATTTTGGCCCAGCAAGTAATGGCCCAGTAAGTTGGCCCTTTAAGCTCTGGGCACTCCCGGTTTGGCATTCTCAGAAATCCTTGTTTGGATGAGGTTATTCGGCTTACTCTAACAGCTTTGCAAATTATTCTTATCTGGTCCTTTTGCCCCAAGTAATCCTGGAGGATGCTCTTGGAACTCAAGGTTATGGAGAAGCTGGTGAAACAGCAATAGCCAGTACTGAGAGGATGGAAATGGGGCTCCGCAGATCCAGACAGATCCTTGCTAGTCTCTGCTCAAGGCAACCATCTTAGCTAAACTAAAGTTTTACCTAAGAAAGATCCTGGAGATATATTTGGCAAGTTGTGAGCTCTGGAGTTCTGCTTAGAAGTGCCCCTACTCGCCCCTGAACCTTGGCAGAAAGGGTGTTCTCTCTGGCTGGGGAGAGCTCCAGTGCTGTCCAGACACCCCCTTCTCTGTGATTTCCAGCTGCTTTGAATGTCATCAAATGTCACTGGGTCAACTGTTTTCTCTGCTGGGGTAGGGACTTGTCCTCACTTTTGCAAAGACCTGGTCTAAGGGGCTTAGGGCCCTCCAGGCTGGGTTGTTCACTCTAGCCTCCAGCTGAACACAAAGTACCTGGGCCTCTGTCATGTCTCCACTGGGTGTGAGATCCCAGAATCCCAGTGGGCATGGGGTACTGCTATGGAACTAGATCACTTGTAGCTCTGCTGCACTGTCTTTAGTTCAACGGCAAGCTGTTCTTTCAGTCCAACCCCTTCTGGATCTGGGGCCCATGGGATGCCTGGTGGGATATGAAGTTTCTGGAGTAATGTTTTCCCTTGGTTTAGCAATCTTTAGACTCCTAAAGGATCCCTGTGTGGAGATATTCTTTGGGATGGTGAAAATTTGTTCCCTGGATTCCCTTGTTTTTATGGGACTTCCCAAATGTATCTCAAGGAATTTATTTTTCAGGTAGAAATTTAGTTTGGCCAAGATGGGTGCCTTGAGTGATTAGGGGCTGTGAGGATCTGTCTGCCTCTCTAGCGGTACCATCTCCATCAGCTTGTGTTTTAGTGCAGAACACTTGTACGTTATCTACACAAGCTTCATTGGTGTTTTGAAAGCATGGCCCAGGACTTACACATTGCTGTTCAGATGAGATTGAGTCAGAGGCTCTGATGGGCTCAATCTGTGATTGTGGATTCGTGAGTGATTGCCTGGGCCACAGCCCTGGAAAGAGCCACATAATAGAGAGCAGGCAGCCCTGACAGAAGGGCCAAAACTTGTCTCAAGTTTCTCAGTGGCTTCCTGGGACAGGGTCTGGGCAGCTCAGGATCATCAGTAACAGCATCTGGCAAGCCCTGTTGCTGCTGATCAAGGCCTGTCAGTATTCAGAGTGTCCTTTCCTGATCTGTGTAGGGGCTGATATGTGTCACTTCCAGGTCCAGGTGTTTGCTTTTCAGAGGACAGGGGCGCCAAGTTGCTTCCCAGGCCTTTGGAATACTGCAGAACCAGTGATTTGTAGTCCCAACAATGGCAGATATGGGCAGGGACAATGCCCTAGCAGATCTTCCCATATTTGTAATCTATGTGGCTCTGCAACATTACCTTGGCCTGAGGAAACAATTGCGGACTGGCCCTCCTGCCACAGTGGATCAGAGAAGGCCACTATTCCCACTAGCTTCTGGTGCTGCATGCTGGGAAGACCCACATAGGTCAGGGCTGTACTGCTCCAGGGCAGGGATTATTGGTCATCAGGTCACAGGATGAACTGGATAGACTGCTGGATCTTTTGGATCAGGTCCCAGCAATGACAAATCAACCCTCTGTTTCAATTGCTCCTGGAGGTGGAATCCTAGCAGCCTCTGGGCATGGTCTAGGAGAATGCTTCCTCCCTCTTGAGGACTGAAATGGACTTCCCCAATCAAAGAGTGTCCTGGATCTAGTGGGAAAGGCTGCAACATGTCTCAGGGCTTACATTGTATGATTTCCTGGATCTACAGAGATCTCTGGACAACAGCTGGCAAACTCCACTGAAGCTGGAGCTGCCTCTACAGCAGGTGCCACTCCAAGGCTTTCACTTAGCCTGAGTCAGATATAGGACATTGATCTGGATTTGTCAATGGTCAGATGGAGAATGTGGGGGAAAAGGTGGGGAAGGAGGGGAGATTTTAATTAGTACAGAGGTGAAGGAGAAATCATTGCAGAGAAAGGGCCAAAGCCTCCCCTGTTTTGGAGATTTCTAAAGTCAGACCAGGGATCTCTAAAGGCAGACAGTAATGTGCAGAAAAGAGAAACCACAGTAAGGTAGCTACAGATGTGGCACATTGAGGCCTCAGTGCATCCTCTAGGCAGTGGACAGAGGCCACTTAGAAGCTGAAAGAGAGGAGAGGGTAGAGCTAGAACCATGGGGTTTGGGATTTGTTCACAGTAATTTTTCTGCTCTGAGTCCATAGTGGATCCTTCAAAAACCCTGAAAGCTTAGGTGAACCAGCTAGCCTCCCATGAAACCCAGAGTCAAAGGGATGGAAGCTCATCTGTTCAGCAGAAGCCTTAGAGATAGCATTCAGAGTGAAAGAAATGGCTGTTTGTCTGTCTGTTTTCCATCCTTTGGAAAATTAGAAGTGGTGTGGTATAAGCTGCCCTGTACAGAACTCCTCCACAGATCTTGGGAGCCCTCAGTTGTGGGAATATGTGCAACAATATCCCACTTGTACTTGAAGATTCCTCAGGACTTTTTGGACATTGCAATAGCAGTTGGAAAGGAATGTAGGGTCATAGGCTGTTGTTGTAGGTTTGGGAGCTCTGGGTTCAGGGAAAGAAAGGGAATCTAGTATTCAAGGGCTGCTGACCTTGGTTCTCCAGGACAAATTTGGAGTTGTTTTTCGTCCTCTCCTGCTGGCTCAGAGGAATTCCAGGCTTCTCAAAGTTTGAAGACAGAGATCCCATGACCTGGGACACAGCTGGGACTTGAGATCTCTGTCCTCGCTGAAAGTGATCAGCCCAGGAATCTTGGACGCTGTCTGCACCAGCTGACCGGGCAGCTGACTGGGTTAAAGATTTCTGATCCATTAATTGTGACAGTGTTGGAGTTACAGATGCCAGTGAAAGCTCTTTGGATTTCGGGGAGCCCAGATCCTGACTATGCTTAAAAGACACACTAGATGTGGACAAAGCCTCTAGGCAAGAGGAGCCCTGTGATGGCCCCAGTGAAGTCAGGGAGATCTGGTTGTTCTCACCTGCCAGCAATTGCTTAATCTCCAGAGCCATAACATTGCAGATTTGGCAGCAGGGGTCTGCACACAGGATTCGCCGCACACTTCCTTCCTGAGGAAGCCAGCCCTGGCTGGGAAGAGAAACATGACAAACATTAATGATGGAGTGACATCTGCCTTCTCGGAAAAGTGTGGGCCGGGGTTGGCATTGTCCTTTCCCAGTCCTGAAAATCCTGGAGCCTACACTCTCTTGTTGTCTACCTCCCTGTTTTTCTTCCTAAGAAAATGCTATTTGGAGGCTGGACATAGTGGCTCATGCCTCTAATCCTAGCACTTTGGGAGGCTGAGGTGGATGGATCACCTGAGGTCAGGAGTTCGAGATCAGCCTGGCCAACATGGTGAAACCCCGTCTCTACTAAAAATACAAAAATTAGCCAGGCATGGTGGCGTATGCCTGTAGTCCCAGCTACTTGGGAGGCAGAGGTAGGAGAGTCCCTTGAACCTGGGAGACGGAGCTTGCAGTGAGCCGAGATTGTGCCGTTGTACTCCAGCCTGGGCAACAAGAGTGAAACTCTGTCTCAAAAAAAAAAAAGAAAAAAGAAAAGAAAAAGAAAAAGCCATTTGGCAAGGTGGGCTGGGCTGACGATCTAGAGCTTGTTGGGCAAGGCTTCAGACGACCCATGGGAGGGCGTGGCCCTCAGAGAAGGCTGGGAGCTGGGGTCAGTTCTCTGTTGACCTTGTTGAAAAGCTGAACTAGGAGAACGGAGCCAGGCGGTTAGCTGATGGGGCATCACCAGTTAGAACCCGGATCAGTCTCATTTGAGGCTAAGAAACCCAAAGCCCGGTATTTGGGCTTGAAGTTCATGTAGGACCTCTGCATTCTGAGAGCTATTTGGTATCCCTGCTGATATACTCAATATCTTTTGGGAATCAATCCTGTTCTCTAGAAATCTTAAGAAGAGGATAAGATGATAGGCTGCCATCTGAGGGCTGTCTCCCTAATGACAGAGCCAGAGGAGGTAATGTCAGCAGAATCCAGTCAGACTCAGAGGAGAGGGAATAAAGAGAATAAGACAGGGATGACTTCTTTACGCAAAATCCATTCCTCTTGACTGGATAGCTTGTCTCGTGGCTGAATGCAACCCTGTGTAGAGTCTTTTATGAATTATACACTAGTACAAGCCTGAATTCTAGAACTACTGTGACCCTAGCCCAAAGCAGAATTGGGTGACCCTTCCCTCCTGAGATGTCTGGCCCAGCCCCCCTGCCCTGGTAACTCTCTCAACTAGTGAACCAGCCTCCACTGTGTATGTCTCCCTCCCATCCATTTTCCCTCTTCTCATCTCTACCCCAAGCCAAGCTGAGAAATGATCACAGACCAGACTAGCAGCTGGGAGACTGCAAAGAAGAAGAGATTACCTTTTCATGAGAAACAGCAGCTTCCACAACTTCTCGGCTTCTTCCTGTGAAGTTCTCCTAGCTGAAGAAACAGAAGATAGTGAGTGTTATGTGGAACTGGAGAGGATTCAGGGACATCCTATAAGAAGCTGAAGGCCTTTTAATGAGAAGATACTGAAAACCCCAGAGTCAGAACACTAAGTCACATCTGTGTATAACTTAACCGTTTACGATGTGTTGTTCTGCACCTTGTCTCATTTGTCCTTCACCATCACACTGGGAGTGAGGAAGGATCATCACATGCCCATTTTATGGAGAACAAGACTGAGAGTTGAAGAGACTTCCACAGGTTTGTAAAACTAGTAAATGACAGAGTTGAGGACTTCTGCCCTAATTCCTCATTCTTTATTCTCAGGAGGATAAGATAGAGAATTTTTTAATGTGCCTAGGCTCTGATTTTCCACCCAAGGAAGTCTTCCATGAGAAATTGTCCCTGGGGGGTACTAGAGTCTGCAGTGGTTAGAGCACCTGCTGTTAGCAGCAGGGGTCATAGAGGGTCAGGATCCGTGGGAACCTCACTCACAGCAGAAGTGAATTAGAGGAGAGACTGGGACTTTACCTCTTGATGTTCTATCTCCAGACTTTTGTTGGACTCTTCGGTGACACTTAAAGACAAAAACATTAGAATGCAAAGCTGCTACACCATTTTTTCCCATATCTAAAATGAAACAAAACTCATAAACATTTCCTGGTCTTTTTCTGTGTTCCAATTTTATATACTCTTCTATCTTTCCTTTCTGTATTCTTTTTCACCCCAAGAGTTTTCTTATTTGCTTATTTCTGACTCACTTTCACGCTCTTCCATACTCCATGCCTCCCACCCCCATTCCTTTCATAAGTTCGGTGGGGACTTTAGGATGAGACGGGAGGAAAAGTGGAACAGATTAAAGGATGGATGGGTCCAGAAGTCAAAGGAGTTCAGCCATCAAATGGCCCTAAATAGCTGCCAACCAGAATAATCACCCAAATTGGGAGCTCTTCTGGTGTCCAGTGAGGAGACCCCTTTAAAAAGCAAGGGCTAAGAGTAACAAGAGAAAGCTCGGGGATAAAATCTTGTTTGAGGCACATCAATTTAGCCATGGTCATAGTGTTTCCCTACCCGGCAACAGCTCCTGTTAGGTACCAAGCTTAATTTTTGGCAGCTCTTTTTCACTTGCCAAATAATTAATGCAATAATGCAGATGGATCCATAGGTGTATAAGGGATATCCAACATCCCACAAAACAAAGGTAGGGCTCAACATGATCTAAACCTCACTAGCCATCCCTCTCCCTAGTCTTTCACTGTCTTAGAACCTAATACCTCCAGATTTTACACCTCGTCATTTCTGCCTCACAGAAGAGGGATCCAAATCACCAGACTGCATCACAAAGCCCTCCTGTTCCACAAGGCAGGGATAGCATCACAGACCTTTATTTGTTTTTAAAGAGGCTTACTATGGTGATTCAATGTTCAGATGAGGGTGTCTGGTGCTCTGTATGGGCTACAGAGCCTGGGGCAAAAGATGCCAAGGTCATGGGCAACATGTACCTTTTCATGTTCTCTCTACTCTCTATACTGTTATGGCTTAGCTCTCCCCTTTACTACAATGGCCTGACACCTATTCCTGACACCTAGTGTGCATATGACACCGAGTCTCTATGCACACTACATGCCCTATAAGAGAGACAGTGGATAGATCAGAGGAACTCCATGAACTACATCATCTGTACTGGGAAGATAACAACAACAACAAAAAATAGAGGATAGGGCAAGCATCATATTGTTAAATCTTGGAAACCGATTTTTAATGCCACCAGCAATGATATATGGTCAGTACTGAGAGGTTCAGAAAGAGGGCAGTGTGTGACATGTCAAGGAAAGGACAAAGCTGATGTTCTTTTAAATAACTTTCTGAGAGTTAAAGAAGGACTTCTCCCAATCTGCGTGGTCCAGCCTGAGATGGGTGAGCAGAGATTGTAAGCACTACCTTTCATGGAGGCAAATGAATGAGGCTCACTTCTGGAGCTCTGTACAAGGCTTGATTTTTCCAGAATTGCCTCTACAGATTTTATAGCATCTAGCCTATTCATGGAGATGAGTTATTGGCAAAACTTTCGATTAAGGTTCACAAACTTGTGGCTCTTTGGTTGAATCCACCGTGGTTGGAATGTTTGCCTAAAAGAGTGTTTTATGAAAATCTGAATTTGAATAACTTTAGGCAGAGCAGGATTTTTCCTCATTTAACCCCGGGATCTACCACTCCTTTGCCCACTGATTCTCACATTAATGTTAACTTCATGACCCCTATCAATATTATGGCATGTCCCCAACACCCTAGGATTTCTGAGTTTCCTTGAGAAGTTCTTGCCCTGATAAAAGTGGTTGGTCTTAGGCTCAAAATCTCTGAAAAGGGGCCAAGTGCGGCGGCTCACACCTGTAATCCCAGCACTTTGGGAAGCTGAGGCAGGCGGATCACCTGAGTCAGGAGTTCGAGACCAGCCTGGCCAACATGGTGAAACCCCATCTCTACTAAAAATACAAAAAATTAGCCAAGTGTAGTGCTGGGCACCTGTAATCCCAGCTACTCAGGAGGCTGAAGCAGGAGAATCGCTTGAACCCAGGAGGCAGAAGTTGCAGTGAGCCGAGATCACACCACTGCACTCCAGCCTGGGTGACAGAATGAGACTCTGCCTCAAAAACAAACAAACAAAATCTCTGAAAAGGGTATTTGATCCTTCCTCCAGCATTAGTTCCTCCACCAGACAGGAATAGTGAGCACTCAATACGTGCTTAACCCTAAGTTGGGCAGTGTTGAGAGTACAAAGGCATTTGAGTTGTATTGCCTACCTGCTTTCAAGATTCTTAAAAATCTAGTTTCAAAGACAAGGCATCCACAAGAAGCAAAAGCCAACATTTTGCTGGGGAAGGGGCTAGAGAAGGGGGAAATAGAGTGTTATTGTTTAATGGGTACAGAAGTTTCTGTTTGGGGTGATGAATACAACCATCTTATTCATAAATGAATGCCCTTAATGGCACTGAATTGTACACTTAAAAATAACTAAAATGGTAAATTTTATGTTAAGCATATCTTACCACAACTTAAAAACAACCAAAAAATTCATTAGCACAAGGGTTTCTTTTTGAACTAGCTATAAGGAAAAATATTCTAAAAATGATTTGACAAACAAATGGATTAGTGAACATTTTTCTCTTTTAATTTTTTTATTTCCATAGGTTATTAGGGAACAGGTGGTGTTTGGTTACATGAGTAAGTTCTTTAGTGGTGATTTGTGAGGTTTTGGTGCACCCATCACCCGAGCAGTATACACTGCACCCTATTTGTAGTTTTTTATCCCTCACCTCCTCCCACTCCTCCCCTCAAGTCCCCAAAGTCCATTGTATCATTCTTATGCCTTTTCATCCTCATAGCTTAGCTCCAACGTATCAGTGAGAACATATGATGTTTGGTTTTCCGTTCCTGAGTTACTTTGCTTAAAATAATAGTCTCCAATCTCATCCAGGTCGCTGCAAATGCTGTTAATTCATTCCTTTTTATGGCTGAGTAGTATTCCATCATATATATATACCACAGTTTCTTTACCCACTCATTGACTGATGGGCATTTGGGTTGGTTCTACGTTTTTGCGATTGCAAATTGTGCTGCTATAAACATGCACGTGCAAGTATCTTTTTCGAATAATGGCTTCGTTTCCTCCAGGTAGATACCCAGTAGTGGGATTGCTGGATCAAATGGTAGTTCTACTTTTAGTTCTTTAAGGAATCTTCACACTGTTTTCCATAGTGGTTGTACTAGTTTTCATTCCCACCAGCAGTGTAGAGGCGTTCCCTTATTGCCACATCCATGCCAACATCTACTGTTTTTTTATTTTTTGATTATGGCCATTCTTGCAGGAGTAAGGCGGTATCACATTGCGGTTTTGATTTGCATCAGTGAACGTTTTTCTTAAATGTCCTTCTTATACCTACAAAAGGAAACTAGATCTTCATATTAAGGATAATTTAAGAAGAGTCCTACCTGAAAATGGGATGAATTTGAGCTATTTCATCATCTGCCCTGAACTTGCAAATTCCATAATACAGGAATGAGAAGACTTTTTCAAACAAAGAGCACTGAATGAAAGGTTAACAAAAATCAATTAAAAGGCAGCTTGAGTCAGCTTTTTAGTAGCAGGTCATCAACATACCTGCAAAGTAGCCTGTATCCTTCATTACTTTTATTACTCCTACTTAACCAGCTGTTGCCACCCTCTATGCAGCTGTAACAGTTTTGTCACCCATTAGCCTGACGTCTTGCACCCAGCAGAATCACCACATCTGCAAGTCCTGCACCTGCTTCTGCCAGTGCACTACTTACCTCACAGATAACCCACAGCCTCTGCCCTTCCACCAAGCCATTAAAACCATCTACTGAAAACTCCACTCCAGCAATTCGCCTGGCCCTTGCTCCTCTGCCTCAGAGCTGAGGAATTAGAGCCAAGGGCTGAGCCAAAAATGGTCTCATGCCTTTTTGTAGATTAGGCCTTTAGCATAGGTTTATTTACTGGTTTGGGGCTCATCGACAAGGGTGCTTGTGTGGACAGGACAGTGGGATCAGTGTCTTCCTGAACAAGGGCTCATTCATGTAATGATCACAGCTAAGCCTGGCATTTCTCACGATGTGGGCATGGATCATCACATTTGCCTTTCCTGCCTCGTGGTTGAGAGCGAACAGCAAACGAGGGAGATGAACTACACGAAAAGCCTCTGTGGACGCTGGAGGGCTGCACAACTATCAAGGATTATTCTTCATTTGTTTCTAGAAAACTTGCTTTAAGCCAGACCCTGCTTTCATTATAATGCTGCAGAGCCACAATGATTGCAATAGAATTTCTTCAAGGAACTGTTCATGGCTACCAATTCATACGTACCCATGAGTCCTATCGCCTTGTAAAGAAACATGTGACTGACATGCCACTGGTGTGAGACTTGTCCCTCCACACAAGCCTTACGAAAGAGCTTCGCTGTGTCTCATACTCAGAAAATACTAGTGAACATCTCAAATATACCAAGGTGCCGGGGACAGAGGTGCATAGTTGCTGCAACTCAGTGGCAACACTTTTATAGATGAGCACGTTCATTAATGCCCAAGAGCTAGAATTTCCAGGGAGTTGGGCAGGAAGCCCCAGAGTAGTGTCAGGCAGCAAAACCACCAGAGCTCACACAGCGGATTACTACCCAATGCAGGATTGTGGGGAGTAACAGTAGATGGCAGCCAGAGACACTAGAGGGCAGCACATGCCCACCCAATATGCCTAGTCCTGTGACATCTCTACCCTGACAGGAGCTTTCAAAGGTTATCTTCTCCAGTGGGCTCTCAATCCCAGCCTTATATCAGAATCACTCGGGAGCTTGTTAAAAATATAGATTTTCTGGTTTCACTCCAGACTAATGAATCGGAATCTCTAGATGCAGAGTCCAGCAACCTCTATATTAAATAAGTATCAAAAATAACCCTCAAGCAAGAAGGCACTCAGCTATGGGTTTGTATTTGAGACTCTGATGAAACTATGTCTCTCCCCTCACACTCAAAATTTGATTGAATTTCAGAGGCATTGACTCCACTTATGGACACCGTGGGGAACTCAGGAAGCCTGGTTAAGAAATTTGAATACAATTTATGCCAAGCGAAACACCATCACTCTGAGGTGGAAGCCTCAGCAAGGCCAGGGTCCTTCATGTTTTAAAAAGTCATAGGAACTTTGGGAAAAAAGAGAGACCAATGACCAATATTGAGAATGAGAGAGGTGACTCACCAAAATTCCAAAGACATTTAAAGGACAATCAATTAATGTGAAGGCCAAGCACAGTGGCTCATGCCTGTAATCCCAGCACTTTGGGAGGCTGAGGTGGGTGGATCACTTGAGCTCAAGAGTTCAAGACCAGCCTGGGCAACATGGCAAAACTCCATCTCTACAAAAACTACAAAAGTTAGCCGGACATGGTGGTGTGCACCTGTAGTCTCAGCTACTCAGGAGGCTGAGGTGGGAGGATTGCTTGAGCCTGGGAGGTGGAGGTTGCAGTGAGCTGAGATATCACCACTGCACTCCAGCCTAGGTGACAGAGTAAGACCATGTCTCAATAACAATAATAATGTGAAAATTTTAATGTCTATAAATGGGCAACTTAGATGAAATGGACTGCTATGGTTTGAATGTGTTCCTTCCAAACTTTATGTGTTGGGAACTTAATCCCCAATGTAACAGTTTTGGGAGGTGGGGCCTTTTGGGAGGTGTTTTAGATCATGAGAACAGAGTGGATTAATGCCACTATAAAAACGGTTTGCAGGAGTGGGTTCTCTCTCTTCTGCTTTTCTGCCCTTCTTCCATGTGAGGACACAGCAAGGAAGCCCTCATCAAATGCTGGTACCTTCCCAGCCTCCAGAACTGTGAGAGAATAAATTCTCTCTTTATAAATTACCACTCTGTGGTATTCTGTAATAACAGCACCAAATGGACTAAGACTGGACAAATTATTTGAAAGACACAAACTATCAAAACTTAAGAAGAAATAGATAACCTGAATGGCCTTATATCCATTTAAAGAAATTGCATTTGTAGTTTAAATCTTGTCTCAAAAAAATTCTTGTCAAGAAAACTCTTATTTTTTTATGACCATATTTCTTCACTAGTGAATTCTAACAAATATTTGAGTATGAAATAATACCAATTCTACATAAATTCTTTCAAAAATTTAAAGAGAAGAGAATACTTCTCAATTCATTGTTTGAAGCCAGGATTGCCTTGATACCAAATCCAAAGACATTACAAGAATAGAAAACTAGAGACCAACATTCTTCATGAACATGAATGCAAAAGTTCTTAACATTTTAGCAAATCAAATTCAGCAACATATAATTGGTAGGAAATACAGAGGGCAAACAAACATGATAGACCACAGGGATGCAATCAGCAGAATCAGGACTATGGACAAAGGATCTAGTTTCTTCCACAAAAAAATTATAAGGAGAAAAGTTAAAGCAATGGAGCAGAATCTATGTATTAAAAGAGCATTAAGAGACATTTCAACTACTTGAAGTTTGTGGGCTGTATTTGTATTCTGATTCCAACAAACAAATTATAGAAAATAAAAATAGGGGGTCGGGCGTGGTGACTGGCCAGGGGTGGTGGCTCATGCCTGTAATCCCAGCACTTTGGGAGGCCGAGGCAGGTAGATCATCTGATGTCAGGAGTTCCAGAAAATAAAAATAAATTTATAAGCCAATCAAGGGAATGTAAGCACTGATTGGGTATTTGATGATATGAAGAAACTATTTTGAACTTTCTAGGTTTAGTAATGGTAGCTCTGTCACTGTAAAAGCTTGTATATGTTGAGATGCATACTAAAATATTTAATGGTATAAATTTCTGATATCTGGAATTTACTTCAAAACGAGGAGGTAACTAGTGTGGGGGTAAAGAAGAAACAAGATTGTTAAAAAATATTAATTTGAAGTTGGGTGACAGGTACATGGAGGTATGTTATTTGAAATTTTCCCTAGTAAAAAGATAATTAAAAACAGAATCTTCCAAAAATGTTTTCAAATACCTTACTAATAAAGTAAAAACTCAGAAGACAGAGTCATGCGTAAATAAATAAACATGTAGAAATGCTTTTGATTTAATAATATACACATGAAGATCTTATAATCAAAATGATTAAATTTTGTTTATACCTTGAAAATATGTTACTATGATTGTAAAAATGAATTTATATTCTTATTCTTGTATAAAATGTATTATCCTATTAAATATTACTGATAGTTACTACTCAACCAAACAAAATAATTACATTTCCATCTGCCTCAATAATGCATCTAAAAGAAACTCCCATAAAAATGAAATTTTAGTCTGGGCATGATGGTTCATGCCTGTAATCTCAACACTTTGGGAGGATGAGGCAGGAGGATGACTTGAGTCCAGGAGTTCAAGACCAGCCTGGGCAACATAATGGGACCCCATCTCTACAAAAAATTATAAAATTAGCCAGACGTGGTGGCATGCATCTGTAGTCCCAGCTACGCAACTCAGGAGGCTGAGGTGGGAAGACCTTTTGAAACTGGGAGGTCAAGGCTACAGTGAACCATGATCACACCATTGCACTCCAGCCTGGGCGACAGAGTAAGACCCTGTCTCAAAAAAATAAAAATAAATAAATGAAATGAAATTTTAGTCATGATTTCAAAAATGTTTTCAGTAGCTGTATCCTTTTCACCATTTAAAATGTTTCTAAATGTTCTGAAATTTTATTCCTATCTATGACAGATTTCAATTAAGAAAAAGAAAAGAGCTTTCTTGGGGAGGGGAGGTGGTTAATAGGGTGTCAGCAAATCTCTGTGGATAATATTATGAAAAGTCCTCATATAATAGGTGAGTTTGGCCATCTCTGGCGATGAGCTAACCTAGACAATGAACTATAAATAAAGGTCAAAGAATTCAGGAACACAAGGAAGAAAGGGGAATTAACCCTGACTGAGCAGCATTACCCAGTGCCAGGCCTGTTATACGCCTCACCTCATTCAGTGCTTACCACCAGCCAGACCCAGGTATTGTTATCCCACGTTATACAAGAGGAAACTGAATCACCAAGAAGTAAAATAACTAGCCCATCACAGCAACTTAGAGATAGATAAAAAGGTTGATTCTAAACTCCACTAAGGTCCTTGCCACCTCTATTTCATTCAAGTTAAGAGGATATAAATACTCAGAATGATTATAAATAAGCTGTTTGAAATTGCAGACTATTCACATATCCAGTAGTTTTTTAAAAGAAGGACAGTAATAAAATAAATTTTAAGATAGGAGCCCGGGTGGCCAAGGCAGGAGGACACTTGAGGCTAGGAGTTCAAAACCAGCCTGGGCAACACAGCAAGACCCCATCTCTACAAAAAATAAAAAATTAGCTGGGCATGGTGGCATGCTTCTGTAGCCCTAGCTACTCAGGAAGCTGAGGCAGGAGAATCACTTGAGCCCAAGAGGCTGAAGCTGCAGCGAGCTGTGATTGTGCCACTGCATTCCAGCCCAAGCTACAGAGCTAAACCCTATTTCAAAAATAAAATGACATGAAATAAAGTAAATTTTTTAAAAACAGGAACCAAAGAGCAAGGCTGGATCCAAAGGTCTCCAGTGTCATCCTGGTACACACCTAGTTCTTCTCATCAGGTGTGTCCCCCAACTGCAGGAAAGGCATTAGGTTGTCACAGCCCAGTGACACTAGCACCTGAGATTGTTCCACTCATGACCCTTTTGGCAGTATGGCCATTTTCACAATATTGATTCTACCCATCCATGAGATTGATGTGTTTCCATTTGTTTGTGTCATCTATGATTTCTTTCAGCAGTGTTCTGTAGTTTTCCTTGCAGAAGACTTTTGACTCCTTGGTTAGGTATATTCCTAAGTATTTTATTTTTATTTTTTTTCAGCTATTGTAAGGGAGGTTGAGTTCTTGATTTGATTCTCCGCTTGGTCACTGTTGGTGTATAGAAGCGTTACTGATTTGTGTACATTAATCTTGTATCTGGAAACTTTGCTGAATTCTTTTATCAATTCTAGGAGCTTTCTGGAGGAGTCTTTAGGGTTTTTAGGGTAGACGATTATATTGTCAGCAAACAGTGAAGGGTTTTCAAGGTAGACGATCATATTGTCACCAAACAGTGACAGTTTGACTTCCTCTTTACTGATTTGGATGCCCTTTATTTCTTTCTCTTGTCTGATTGCTCTGGCTAGGACTTCCAGTACTATGTTGAAGAGGAGTGGTGAGAGTGGGCATCCTTGTCTTATTCCCCTTCTCAGAGGGAATACTTTCAACCTTTCCCCATTCAGTATTATTTTGGCTGTGGGTTTGTCGTGGATGGCTTTTATTACATTAAGGTATGTCCCTTGTATGCCAATTTCGCTTAGAGTTTTAATCATAAAGGGATGCTGGATTTTGTCGAATGCTTTTTCTGCATCTATTGAGATGATCATGTGACTTTTGTTTTTAATTCTGTTTATGTGATATATCACATTTATTGACTTGCATATGTTAAACCATCCCTGCATCCCTGGTATGCAACCCACTTGAGCATGGTGGATTATCTTTTTGATATGTTCTTGGATTTGGTTAGCTAGTATTTTGTTAAGGATTTTAGCATCTATACTCATCAAGGATATCAGTCTGTAGTTTTCTTTTTTGGTTATGTCCTTTCCTGGTTTTGGTCTTAGAGTGATGCCAGCTTCATAGAATGAATTAGGGAGGGTTCCTTCTTTCTCTGTCTTGTGGAATAGTGTCAAAAGGATTGCTTGTTAGTGGCCTGTTCAGGGTACCTAATTCTTCCTGATTTGAGCTAGGAGGGTTGTATTTTTCCAGGAATTTATTCATCTCTTCTAGGTTTTCTAGTTTATGCACTCACAGCACTGACTGGATTACACATTCATCAGACACTTCTGAGTAGCCTAGAACTTGCAATGTAAATAGACCTAGAAGGAGAGAATGCCCTGACCAGCAGGTGGGAGTAGGCCAGGTTCGTTGGAGTTACATTTATCACTATAAATTAGTAAATTAGCATTCTGATTTATGCTTCAGTCTCTTTTTAGTTTAGTTACAGTGGATCCATCCCAAAGAAACCACTTGGTTCAGAGAACCTTGACAAAATGGAGCCTGCCTATAAAGCTGAAAGCTGGCTCCTGGTTCTGATTCCCCTCGTTAGTCTCCACCCTCCTGACCAGCTGCAGAGGCAGGGAGGGCAATCCTAAACACCAGACTACTGGCATGACCACAACCTGACCTCCTACCAGAGGAGAACAAGCACCCCCATTTCTCATCTAAGCCGCCTTCCTCTCCTGTGCTTTAGTTTTTTCCCTGTTAGCTAAAAGTGGTGTTCATTAAAACCTATTTGTTGAATAAAACACTGTAGGGGATATAAAAGTATGTAGAAGTGAATTCTGATAACTTAAAAGTTACATGCTTTCAGCATAGTGGGAAATAATAGGTATCTATACAATAATACGGTATCTGAGAGTATGTGGTATATAATCTCCTTATAAATATTATATAAAGTTGCTATATAAATCTCCTGTAAAGGGGAGATTATTTTTGGCTGAAGTGATCTGGGAAAGCTTCATGTAGAAGATGGCATTCAAGCTGGTGCTTGAAGCTGAGAGAGGATTTTAATATGTGGAGTTGGAAGAGGGAGTGATCCAAAATGCAGGAATCAACATGCATAAACTGCTGGTGTCTCTGTGTAATGATAACATGCAGAAATAACAGAAGGATTCCTGAAATATTTATTTTACTCTGAGTGCATTTTATTTTGTATATATTTGATCTTAATTAACTGAGTTTTAGATTTTATTTTGTCTTCGTGTGGAAACTGGGGTTGTGGATATCTCCTCATGGGAATGTTTTTCTGTGTCACGTGGACATGAACTGTGGAGATGGGTCTTCAGAACCTGACCATATGTGTTTCTAGGTATAAACGTCTGTGTGGGTGCATTTCTCTACACAGATTTTTTGGTCTTTGTGGGTGTGTGCACATGCAGTCCTGAGGGTTGAGAAGGAAAGACAGGAAGGATTAGAGGGGAGAAACAGGGAGGGGGGAAAGGAAGTGAGAAGTTGTTGAGGGTGTTGGGGCTGTTAGTGGAAAAAAATAGACTCTGAAAATATTTTAAAGAGGTTTATTCTGAGCCAATATGAGTGACCATGGCCTGGGTAACATAGTCTCAAGAGGTCCTGAGAAAGTGTGCCTGCCTCAGTTGGATTACAATTTGGTTTTATACATTTTAGGGAGGCAGAAGTTACAGGCAAGGTCATAAATCAGTACATGAAGGGTATACATTGGTTCAGCCCAGAAAGGCAGGATGTCTTGAAGCAGATCTTACACGTTATACATGGATTGAGAGATTCTTTAATT
Source organism: Homo sapiens (assembly GCF_000001405.40). Taxonomy (NCBI): domain Eukaryota; kingdom Metazoa; phylum Chordata; class Mammalia; order Primates; family Hominidae; genus Homo; species Homo sapiens. The sequence continues at coordinate 34,906,410 of NC_000009.12, forward strand.
TACAAGTGGTTAAAGGTGTAAAGTTTTGTCTAAAAATTTGGAGTCAGCAGAAAGGAATCTTAAGTTTCATTGTGCTTTGACATGGTGCTTCCTTCCTGATGCTTTGACATGGTGAGGCCTTAAAAGCTGCCTCAGAATGCAGGTGAATCGCTTGAACCCAGGAGGCAGAGTTTGCAGTGAGCCGAGATCACGCCACTGCACTCTAGCCTGGGCAATGGAATGAGACTCCATCTCAAAAAAAAAAAAAAAAAAAAGCTGCCTCAGAATCAAGATCCCTAACCCTAACCCCTAACTCTTTTATTCCCCCCACTCAAAGTGCAGGGAGGGACTCTCTTGGAATTTCCTTATCTAAACAAGTAACTTTGTTTCCAAAAGAAATGCAATGCAGTTGTCTGAAATCCCCTCCATAGGGATTCAAATAACCAGGAAAGATCAACCACTGGAGAAGAGAAGAAATTGGGTGTCATCACCACACCCAGACACACTATTTTTAAAGAGAAGACTCTTGCTCTGTTGTCCAGGCTAGAGTGCAGTGGTGTGATTATAGCTCACTGTAGGTGAGCACCACCCCACCCCTCTAATTTTTATTTTATTTTCATAGAGACAGGTTGTCTACTATATTGCCCAGGCTGGTCCCAAACTCCTGGCCTCAAGGGATCCTCCCTCCTTGGCCTCCCAAAGGGCTAGGACTACAGTTGTGAGCCACTTTGCTGATCCAGATTTTTCATCTGTTCTGCTGATGGTAGCCCCAAGAGATCACCCAGGGAACTTTATCTGTGTAGGACAACCTTTGTTCCCGTGTAGCTCTACCTCTCACTTTCCCTTAACGTAGGCCTCCCAACTCCTGGGTCCATTCATTCTCCCTAATGACTTACTGCCCCTCAAAGGAATTGTTGACATTCCTTATTTCCTACTGTCCATGAAAAAGGATATGTAAATTTCTGTACCACACTGGGTTATTCAGTAATAATTACTCTATTAATCATCCCCTCCCTCATGCACATTAATAAACTTGTATGCCTTTTCACCTATTAATCTGCTTTTTGTCGGTTGATTTTCATAGACCCTTCTAAAGGTGAAGGGACATTTCCCCTTTGCCACCTAGAAGGGGAACCTCTGCTCTGAAGACGAAGTGTGGTTTCATATAGTTAGTATTTTACATAATTGATAATTGATTGTCCCGTAGATCACAGATACTCCTTTCCTGTAATACAACATTTATCGGTAAAAGGCTAGTGCTTCAAAATGCCATCTTTTCTTTCATCCATTGCACTCTATCTCTTTTCATTGGTCCAGTCTTTCATCCAATTTAATCCTCTTTTTGGATTGTCTTTGTTTAGTTTTTTTTCCCCTTTTTCTTATCCTTCCAGTTTGATTTCTTTCTTCGCTGTAGTTTTGGGGTTTTGTTTTTTGTTTTTTGTTTTGTTGCTTTGTTTTGTTTTGTTTCCCCCAAGATGGAGTCTTGCTCTGTCACCCAGGCTGAAGTGCAGTGGCATGATCTCGGCTCACTGCAACCTCCACCTCCCAGGTTCAAGCAATTCTCCTGCCTCAGCCTCCCGAGTAGCTGGGATTACAGGTGCCCGCCACCACACCTGGCTAATTTTTGTATTTTTAGTAGAGATGGGGCTTCATCATGTTGGTCAGGCTGGTCTCGAACTCCCGACCTCGTGATCTGCCCGCCTCGGCCTCCCAAAGTGCTGGGATTATAGGCGTGAGCTGCCACACCCGGCCTCTTCACAGTAGTTTTCACCTGCTGTAAGTTTTCTCTTCTAGCTTATGGAACTAATACCATACCCCAGAAACAAATGTTTTGTAATTGAGGAAGGGGCACTTCTTGTTGTAAGGATATTTTAGGCTCCATTTAAGGCTTTTGTCTTCACTGCCACTGCCATAGACAATTCATTGATCCCTCAAATTTAAATTGGGTACATTTGTTTATGTGAAAGGCATTGTTATAGTCAAGACGGAAACAGAAAAAAAAATCCCTCTGGGAGCTTTCATTCTAGTGGAAGGAGAGAGAAAGCAAACAAATAGGAAAATATGTAGTATGTTAGATGGTGATAAGTGCAGTGGAGAAAAATAAAGAAGAGACTAAGTCAAGAGTATAAACAAGATTTGTCATTTTTAATAGGTGGCAAGGGGAGGTCTGAGAAGATGATATTGGAGCAAAGACCAGTAGGAGATAAGGGAGCAACTCATGCATGTCTCTGGGAAAAGGGAACAGGAAACATCTATAGGGAGAAGACAGGTAAAGATCCAATAAGACAGTCCCTCAAGCCAGTACACAAGGGGTTGAGGACTTCAGAAAGCCTCCATAGTATGGTGTCCTTTGGACAGACTTTGTCTCGGGTCACCACTTCAAATCCTTATAAGGACTTCTTTCTCAATCTTATTTTATCTTACCTCATCCTTTTTTTCTTTTCTTTTCTTTTCTTTTTTTTTTTTTTTCTTTTTTTGAGACAGAGTCTCACGTCGTCGCCTGGGCTGGAGTGCAGTGGTGCGATCTTGGCTCACTCCAACCTCCACCTCCCAGGTTCAAGCAATTCTCCTGCCTCAGCCTCCCAAGTAGCTGGGATTACAGGGTGCCTGCCACCATGCCCGGCTAATTTTTTGTATTTTTAGTAGAGATGGGGTTTCACCATGTTGGTCAGGCTGGTCTCAAACTCCTGACCTTGTGGTCCACCTGCCTCAGCCTCCCAAAGCGCTGGGATTACAGGTGAGCCACCATGCCCGGCCCCCTTTTTCTCTTTTTTAAGAGATGGGGTCTCACTATGTTGACTAGGCTGGCCTCGAACTCTCAGGCTCAAGCTTCCTAAACAGCTGGGATTGCAAGAGCACACCGCTATACCTGGCTCTTCCCTTATCTTATCTTTGTGTCTTTGGGGACTAATTTGTTTAGTTTTGTCTGCCCAACTTGGGAGGTTTAGCTAGCCTGTCATCAGTGGCAGCCTGGCCTTTGGCCAAGCTCTGGACAAGCACCATCCTATGGACCATTGACATTTCACGTGTTCTGCCTCATCCCAAACTGAGCCTCATCTAGGCCAAATGCTCAATTCCTGTATGGTTTCTCACTATCACATTATCTTGTATGCTTCTCTGTCTGTCACAATTTTACCAGGGACCGTTTGCAATTGCAGCAAACACTTAAGTGAACTATTTACAGAGACTACTTTGTTCTTTTGAGAGGTACCTTAGAACATAAAGAGAAGAAATCCTTTTTTTTTTTTTTTGAGACGGAGTCTCGCTCTGTCGCCCAGGCTGGAGTGCAGTGGCGCGATCTCGGCTCACTGCAAGCTCCGCCTCCCGGGCTCACGCCATTCTCCTGCCTCAGCCTCCCGAGTAGCTGGGACTACAGGCATCCGCCACCATGCCTGGCTAATTTTTTCTGTTTTTTGGTAGAGACGGGGTTTCACTGTGTTAGCTAGGATGGTCTGGATCTCATCTTCTGACCTCGTGATCTGCCCGCCTTAGCCTCCCAAAGTGCTGGGATTACAGGCGTGAGCCACCGCGCCCAGCCGAAGAAATCCTTTTAAGGAGGTTTTTCATCTTGCCTGATTAAGATGGAGTGATTGTTTTGTTTCATGTAGAAGACACCCCTCCTTCATTTCTGTACTTCAGGAGTTAATAAATGCTGGCTTTTAAATTGTATCACTTATAAAATTGTGGAAGGTCAGAGCTACTGTTTCAACCAGCCATAATAACTCTCTGTTGTATGTCTATATGTGAAAATGGGTTTTCCTGCATCTAAGCTTTCTCTCCTCTCCTTGAAGAAGGAATATAATTAGTCTTCTACAGTATTCATATTTGTCTGAAGCCAGTTTTGCCTCTTTTTTTTTGGCTCACCACTATGCTAATGAGGATCTCCTCTCTTTTGTTCTGTTCCTTTCCCTCCTTTTTTCCCCTCTCTTGGAAAACATTAAAAATTAACTTAGAAATAAAAGTCACTCTGTTATTACGTGCATACTCTAGGAATAACTAGTCCAGATAAGCAGCCAAAAATGTCTAAAAGATCTTGAAAATTTCTAAGAGAGTAGATTTTAAGTGTTCTCGCTACATACATACAAAATAAGTATGTGAGGTAGTACAAATGTTAATTAGCTCAAATTAGCCATTTCATAATGTATATTTCAAAACAACATACATGATAAACATATATAATTTGTATTTGTCAATTAAAATATGTAAGTAAATGTTTTTAAAGTCTAAAATCTTTATTAAACTGTTAGGGTTTCTTTTTGTGAACACTTAAAAGTGTATTTACATAGTAGTCTATGTTACTAAGTTATGAGATAAAAAGAAATAGATTTAAAGACTAAGGGGTTTTGTCATGATTCAGAGTCTCTAACTTTTAGTTTACCCTATAGAAAATAATGGCATATTTATCTTTAGATATATATGACTTGTATCTTGTCTTCTTTTTTTTTTTCAATTGAGATAGAGTCTCATTCTGCCACCCAGGCTGGAGTGCAGTGGCAGGAACATAGCTTACTACAGCTTCCATCTCCCAGGCTCAAGCAATCCTTCTGCCTCAGCTTCCCAAATAGCTGGGACTATAGACACACATCATCACACCTGACTAATTTTTTTGATTTTTAGTAAAGACGAGATCTCATTATGTTGCTCAGACTAGTCTTGAACTCCTGAATTCAACTGATCTTCCCACCTTGGCCTCCGAAAGTGCTGGGATTACAGGCATGAGCCACCATGCCCAGCCTATTTTGTCTAATTACTAACTATTCTTGGTTTTGCCTATCTAAAAGTCAGTCAGACTTTTTTTAAAAAAAAACTATAAAGTTGTCTTTTATGAATAAACTATATTTATAGGGTTTTCTTTTCTTTTCTTTTTCTTTTTCTTTTTCTTTTGAGACAGAGTCTCTCTCTGTCACCCAGGCTAGAGTGCAGTGGCATGATCTTGGCTCACTGCAACCTCCACCTCCTGGGTTCAAGCAATTCTCTGCCTCAGCCTCCCAAGTAGCTGGGATTACAGGTGCCCGCCACCACGCCTGGATAATTTTTTGTATTTTTAGTAGAGGCAGGGTTTCACCATCTTGGCCGGCCGGTCTTGAACTCCTGATGTCGTGATCCACCCGCCTCAGCCTCCCAAAGTGCCGGGATTACAGGCGTGAGCCACCGCGCCCGGCCTATGGGGTTTTCTAAAATGGCCATTAGGTACCATGGAGATTTGCTCCTTCAACCCATAAAAGGAAGGACAATAGGAATAGTTAGTTTTGTCTAGAAATTTTCCAAATTTCAGTTAATTCAAGCCTGCTATGTGAACTCTTTTGTTTATCAAATTTAAGATTTAAAAAAAAAAAACTGTCCAGCCCATGTCTAGCCAAGTTGCAGCCTATCTCCCCCACTGATTGTAACAAAAATTCTGGAAAAATACAAGAAACAACTATCTAAGAACTCTGAGAAGTAGAAGTAGCAGTTGGCTGTGAAGGAAAGTCAAAGCCTGAAGAACAATCCAAATGGAGGCAGTGAGTTTCCTGGGTTGTTTTCTTCCTTTACCTACCAATTTCGATCCAAAGGCAACCTGAGTCGGGGAACTATATAGCAGGAACAGATAGCAAAAACTGAGAAAATCCCATTTTTCATGGCCATAGGTCTGGAAAAGATGGACCAAGCAAGCTAGAGAGTGTAGAGAGAATCCTTGGTTTTATTTTTCTCTTTTCATCCTTTCCAAACCATGCCCAAGACCAGCCCTGGTCATACGGCTGAGCTGTCATGTAGGCAGTGGTACAGAAACCCAGAACCCTGAGAGAAAACCTGTTCCTCTGGAAGGAGGAACTGGGGGAAAAAATGCCTCTGAAGTAGGAAGAGTGTGTGTGGGTGGATGGAAGAGTTCCTGTTACTTTTCTCTCTCTCTTTTCTCTAACTACCTTGTCCTGAGTGTAGACCCAATCACACAGAACTGTATGATTATGGTGGCCACAACTCTAGGAGAAACTCCAACTCTCTACGAAAGGACTGGTAAAAAGGGGCTCCTGAGAAACAAAGAATGTATTGAAAATCCGGCAGAGGAGAGAGGGGGATAAGGGATCCCCAACTTCCATGTGCATTGTCACAAGTCCATACTCACCACTAAGCTGTGTATGTTCAGAACACATGAAAAAAAACACATAGCAAAAGCTTTGAGAGCCGAACTGCCATATAGCCCATCACCTATGTCCCAGACTAACCTCTAAGTAGTGCATGCAAAGAGCAGACCCAAACAGCATAGCAAATACTTTGAAAACTGAAGTCTTTGGAACTACTGCCCACAGAAAGTGACAGAACTTTCCATCCAAACCTAACAGGGTTAACTTCCTGCTAAAATAACAACAACCAACATTCTGCAGAGGACTTAAATAGGCCCGGAGTCTCACAATTTAGTACACAAAATGTCTAAGATTCAACCTATTAAGAATTAAGAAAATGTAACCAATTCTTAAGGGAAAAATAATCAATAGATGTCAACCCCAAGATGTTGACATTATTAGACAAATACCTTAAAGTGGCTATTATGTGCATCTTCCAGAAGGTAAAAGTAAACACTATTGAAATAAATAGAAATATAGAAGCTCTAAGCAAAGAAATATAAATTATAAAAAGGAACCTATTGGAAATTTAAAACTGAGAAATACAGTATCTGAAATAAAATATTTACTGGACACAGTTGAGAGCAGAATGGAAATGACTGACCAATCCACGAACTTGAATTTGGACCAATAGAAATTTTCAATCTGAAAAACAGAGAAAAAAAAATTGGAAAAAAAAAGATGAGTACAATCATGAGGACTTTGGGGACAATATCAAAAAGATAAAATTCACGTCAGTGGAATTCCAGGAGAGGAGAAAAAGATTGGTGTAGAAAATATATGCGATGATATAATAGCTGAGAATTACCCAAATTTAGTAAAGTTATAAATTTACAGATATGAAATCTCAGTGACCCCCCAAACAGGAATGAATTCAAGAAAACCATGCCCTAACATAGGAGGAAATTGCTTGATTTCATTTTCCCATCCTGGAAAATTCAACTTAACTCTATTGATAGAATACGTTTCACAGAATTCATTATTAAAGAACTCTGCAAAATCTTTATCTTTTGCTTAGAAATGCTATCATTTTATTATCCATAAACTTCAGAAAATGTAAAGAGAACTGATTAAGGAATTCTAAAATTAAACCTAGCAAAGTTTAGTTTTCAAAAACCCTTTAATTTCTATGGCCTAAAGCAGGGTTCAGCAAACCCTGACACAGCTAGAGAGTAAATAATTTAGGTTTTGTGGATTTTGCGGTAGAAAAGACTCCTCCAATCTCCTGCCTCTATAGATGGTATAGGTCTGGCTCTCGTACTCTCAGGGCACAGTAGGTAAAGAGAGCAAGGAGCATTCAGCTTTCACTACGGTACACTCACTCTTAGCTGTGCCTGGTCCAGGTGAGTCCAGGGTCTCTCTGCATTAATTTTTCTGGAGCATAAACCTTTAGGCTTTGTCCTTTTGTGGGAGAAGGAGTGTTAAAAGTTTGTGAGGAGCAGAAGAGGAGATTTAGGTGTCTATTCTTATACTTTCAACCCCACTTTCAGAGGTAGCTGCCACCAAATCCTGAGCCTTTAGAGTTATTTGGCTTTATTCTTGTATAGTCACTTCACAGATATTTAGCCTTGTCCTTTCTCAGGTCTCCTAAATCAATTACTACTAGTCTATCTGTTTTTCAGCTTGCAAAATTTTGTTGACAATTTTTATTTACTGTCATCTCCCTCTTCCTCCATCTGCTTTCCCATTTTCTTTAATATCATGGGTTTTTTCCTTCTTAAAAAAATATTTTATGTCATTATAGCAGGGTAAATTAATGTGTTTAAATTTACCTGGAAATGTAAGTCTCAACAGGATATAGGTAGATATAGCATTTATTAAAAGTTAAGTTTGCTGGAAAACAGTAAGTTCCTTCAATATATAATCTAAGCTCTTTTTTTCCACTCAGGAACATTTTATTCTCTTGTACCTTGCATTATTACTTCTTTTTTTGTTGGTTTTCCTCCCCATTCCTACAATAAAAGTCTTTTATTCCTACATTTGATTTTCGTCCTTTGGTCTCTATATCTATCGTCTTCTCTTATAATGTCTACTTTGGAGTTTTAGTTTTGTTTTTGTTTTTACAGTCTGGAAGTACTTCTCAATTGTATCCTTATACAACAGAAATCTCATTTTTCCATGAATCTCATGTCGGTTCTGCTTCTTACACAACTTTTGTTTCATTGAAATCTATTCTTTCTCAGCTAACATTCCTTTCATCTCTATTTACATCACATTTGGGTTACTAGTCTTTTCCAATCATCTAAATGCCTTCCTGTGATCACTTGCTTTTCTTTTTCCCTCTTTTTCCTTTGTTTTATTTTTCTTTTTTTGATAGACAAGGTCTTGCTCTGTCACCTAGGCTGAAGTGCAGTGGTGCAATCATGTCTCACTGCAGCCTCGACTTCCTAAGTTCAAGGGATCCTCCTGCCTCAGCCCCCTGAGTACCTGGGACTACAGGTGTGTGCCACCATGCCTGGCTAATTTTTTTTTTTTTTTTTTTGGTAGAGACAGGTCTCACCATATTGCCCAGGTTGACACATTTCTTTTTTCTTTTCTTTTTTTTTTTTTTTTTTTTTTTTGAGACAGGGTTTTACTTTGTCACCCAGGCTGGAGTGCAGTGGCACGATCACAGCTCACTGCAGCCTCGACCTCCTGGGCTCAAGCTATCCTCCTGCCTCAGCCCTCCAAGTAGCTGGGACTACAGGTGCATACCACCATGCCCTGCTAAATTTTTGTATTTTTTGTAGAGACGGGGTTTCACCAGACACATTTATTTTATTGAAAACCCATTAAGCAGATATCATAGTTCCTAACATGTGCGTCTGCTTTTCCTAGTCAAAGCATTTTCAGCAGCATGTCTTTCCAAGTCTTCAGGGATGATAGTTCTATTTTCTTTACAATGCATATTGTCACTAGTCCATGTTGGCAGGTTGGCCTTTTTTTTTTTTCATCCTTGAATGAAAATTGAAGTAGGTAGTCCTCATTTCATATTTTGAACAAGAAACATTAACACCAAAACAGTAGGCAGAACCAAAACCTGCACAGAAGTATCAAAGCTAGAAATGCCAAGAGGGAAATTTTAAGGGTTCACAAAGTAAAGAAGATCAGAGGCAGGTATCACCTGTTTCCATTGCAATCAGAGAACAGGTAAGTCCAGACATGGAACATGTGGACATTTCTTTTGTGGATCAGAAGGTAAGGATCGTCTGGGATATAATGACTAGGAACCATGGAGGTGGAAAGATTCTTTGACAAACAGAATTGTGGTGATTTGTGCAGAAAGGAGCTTAAGATTTGATGATTGGATTCGTCCTCTTAGGGGTGGTATCCTTGTTATGGTTTGGCTCTGTGTCCCGACCCAAATCTCACCTTGAATTGTAATAATCCCTACATGTCAAGGGTGGGACCAGGTGGAGATAACAGAATCATGGAAGCGGTCCCCCCCCACACCACCCCACCACCAACCCTGGTGCTGTTCTCGTGGTAGTGACTGAGTTCTCACAAAATCAGGTGGTTTTATAAGGGGCTTCTGCCTTCGTTCGGCACTCATTGTCTCTCCTGCTTCCCTGTGAAGAGGTGCCTTCTGCCATGATTGTAAGTTTCCCAAGGCCTCCCCAGCCATGTAGAGTGTCAGTCAATTAAACCTCTTTATAAAGTACCCAGTTTGGGATATTTCTTCATAGCAGCACGAGAACGAACTAATACAATCCTCTATCACTATAAATAGTGTTATGACAATGTGTGATAGGAGCAAAATCTATCATGAATATGTAGTGTCTATTTGAGAAACTTCCCCCTCCCCACCACTTGTGATTCTGGTGGACCTGTCAACTACAGGAGTCTACTCTTTTATCGGGGTAGGAACCCATTGCCCTGGCAACAGTAATTCATCCAAAGGGTGATGATGCTGAGGTGAAATTTGAATCTAATGTAAATGGAGTTATAGAAAAAATAGCTGACCATGAGTGATACCGCCACCCTCTAAGAAACCCTAGATATAAGGTGAGAGGAATGTAGTGAAGACAATCATCTTATAAATGAGGAAAGGATGACCTCATGTTAGAGGAAGTGATGCCAGCAAAAACTTAACATTAAAGTACCTCTCAGAGATATGTCATAACATTGAAAGTACAAAGGATGAAATGTTAGAAGATAATCAAAACTTAGGAGTATGACAATTTGCAAAGGCATAGAAAAGCTGTTCATGCCATATTACAAGTTATACCATGAGAAGGTAAGTGCTATTCATATTTTTCTTGATAAGTGTGTGGTTTGTTTGTGTGGTAAGTTTTTTTGGAGAAGGTAGAAATGTTTTATTAAATCTTAGTTCAGAGAGTGCGTGGGAGCATTATCTCCACTATTACACACTATGCAACTTAAAAAGATAATATTTCAAAGAGAAATACATACTTGCCATGTACACGGACAATAATATTGCAAAAAGAAACGTCCTTGTTTCTTATGCAAATTGTTCCATAATTTTGAAAATTTTTGAATGTCACTGAATTGAGTAAAAAACTTAGAAACTCTTGAATACTAGAATATTCAAAAGTGTGAACACAAATCATGAGGGAGAGTCAAGAGTGGGTGAAGAGCGGAGCGTGTGAGCAGCACAGAGGCCTCCTCTCCTCTCCTCTCCTCACCTCGCTCTCGCGGCCTACCTTTACCGGCCCGTCTGCTCGGCACCCAGAACACCTTCCACCATGACCACCTCAGCATGTTCCCACTTAAATAAAGGCATCAAGCAGGTGTACATATCCCTGCCTCAGGGTGAGAAAGTCCGGGTCATGTATATCTGGATCGATGGTACTGGAAAAGGACTGCACTGCAAGACCTGGACCCTGGACAGTGAGCCCAAGTGTGTGGAAGAGTTGCCTGAGGGGAATTTTGATGGCTCTATAGTACTTTACAGTCTGAAGGCTCCAACAGTGACATGTATCTCGTTCCTGCTGCTATGTTTAAGGACCCTTTCCGTAAGGATCCTAACAAGCTGGTATTGTGTGAAGTTTTCAAGTACAATCGAAAGCCTGCAGAGACCAATTTGAGGCACACCTGTAAACGGATAATCGACGTGATGAGCAACCAGCACCCCTGGTTTGGCATGGAGCAGGAATATACCCTCATGGGGACAAATGGCCACCCCTTTGGTTGGCCTTCCAGTGGCTTCCCGGGGCCTCAGACTCCATATTACTGCAGTGTGGGAGCAGACAGAACCTATGGCAGGGACATCGTGGAGGCTCATTACAGCGCCTGCTTGTATGCTGGAGTCAGGATTGTGGGGACTAATGCCAATCATGCCTCCCCAGTGAGAATTTCAAATTGGACCCTGTGAAGGAATCAGCATGGGAGATCATCTCTGGGTGGCTCGTTTCATCTTGCATCGTGTGTGTGAAGACTTTGGAGTGATAGCAACCTTTGATCCTAAGCCCATTCCTGGGAACTGGAATGGTGCAGGCTGCCATACCAACTTTAGCACCAAGGCCATGTGGGAGGAGAATGGTCTGAAATACACTGGGGAGGCCATCAAGAAATTAAGCAAGCGACACCAGTACCACATCTGTGCCTGTGATCCCAAAGGAGGCCTGGACAAGGCCCGACACCTAACTGGATTCCATGAAACCTCCAACATCAACAACTTTTCTGCTGGTGTAGCCAATCGTAGCGCCAGCATATGCATTCCCTGGACTGTCGGCCAGGAGAAGAAGGGTTACTTTGAAGACCATCACCCCTCTGCCAACTGTGACCCCTTTTCGGTGACAGAAGCCCTCATCCGCACGTGTCTTCTCAATGAAACTGGTGATGAGCCCTTCCAGTACAAAAACTAAGTGGACTAGACCTCCAGCTGTCGAGCCCCTCCTAGTTCTTCATCCCACTCCAACTCTTCCCCCTCTCCCAGTTGTCCCAATTGTAACTCGAAGGGTGAATACCAAGGTCTTTAAAAAAAAAAAAAAATCATGGGGAATTTTTCCTATAATGAAATGATTGAAGCGTTCATACCTATAAAATTTTTCAATGTTGAAAAATAAAAATACTTTTAAAGTGCACCTTCCAAAATGTCTCCCATAAGTAGGTAAGACCAACCTGTATATCTTAAGATATTAGTTAAGAATTTAGAGACAGAGGAAGAAAAATTCTTAGCAGTGGTTATTTTGGTAAGTTTTCTTTAGAAAAACACTTTAAATCTCAATATTTCTAATGTTTTAAATTGCAGTGTACTAAATAAATATTTGTTACTACTTTTTTCACTTCCCTATTCATTATAACCAACAAGAGATATTTTTTACATTTTCATGAAAAAATTTTGAAAGGTCACTAAACAATTGTAGTTTTCCCCGTTGATTATTAAGATCACTTTGCATGATTTCAGCATGAACAGTCCTTATGAGTCCCACACTACTGTGAAAAGTGAGGATTCCTGTGATGGAAATTGAATCAACTTCAGAATCATTTTTGTTGATAAGACCGGTAGTTCTCATGTTATGTTCCCCAAAATCCTGGGTTCCATCAAAGTGTTTCAGAGTTTTCAAACATTTCACAAACGTTTGATTTTAATTTCATTTAAAAAAATTAGCTTATTTCTTAAATTAATAAATTTTATTCTTTAAAATAGTTTTAAGTTTACAGAAAAATTTAGCAGACAGTGCTGAAAGTTCCCATTTTATTATACGTGTTTACTATGATTAGTGAACCAATATTAATACATTTTATTGATATGTAATTGTACATATTAAAGCACATGTGATATTTTGATAAAAGCATACAATGTGTAATGACCAAATTAGGATAATTAGAATGTCTATCACCTAAAACATTTATCATTTCCTTGTATTGGGAACATTTCAAATCTTCTCTTCTAGATATTTTGAAATACACAAAAAATTATTCTTAACTATTGTCACCCTACTGTGCTATCAAACATTAGAACTTATTTCTTCTATCTAACTCTATGTTTGCACCCATTAGCGAACCTCTGTGCATCTCCCCACCCACCCTTTCCAGCCTCTGATAACCATCATTCTACTATCTTCATGAGATCAACTTTTTTTTTAAAATCCATCACCTCAAGCATTTATCATTTCTTTGTGTTCCAAACATTCCAATGATCTCTTTTAGTTATTTTTTAATGTACAATAAATCATTGTTTACTGTAGTCACCCTGTTGTGCTATCAAATACTAGGTCTTATTCATTCTAATTATATTTTTCTTGTACCCAGTAATTACACACACACACACACACATCCCAACCCCTGGTAACCATCATTCTACTCTCTATATCTATGAGTTCAATTATTTTAATTTCTAGTTCTTACAAATGAGTGAGAACATGCAAAGTTTGTCTTTATGTGCCTGACTTATTTCCCTTAACATAATGTCCTCCAGTCCATCCACGCTATTGCAACTGACAGGATCTTGTTCCTTTTATGGGCAGGTAGTACTCCATTGTGTATATGTGCCAACATTTTCTTTATCCATTCATCTGTTGGTGGACACTTAGTTTGGTTCCAAATCTTGGCTATTGTGAATAGTGCTGCAATAAACATGGGAGTGCAGATATCTCTTTGATGATATACTAATTTTCTTTCTTTTGGGCATATACCTAGCAAAGGGATGGCTGAATCATATGGTAGCTCTATTTTTAGTTTTCTGAGGAACCTCCATACAGTTCTCCATAGTGGCTGTACTAATTTACATTCTCACCAACAGTGTAGGAGGGTTTCTTTTTCTGCACATACTTGCCAGCATTCATTATTGCCTGTCTTTTAGATAAAAGCCATTTGAACCAGAATGAGATGATACCTCACTGTAGTTTCAATTTGCATTTTTCTGATGATCAGTGAGTTCACTGTAGATGTATGCATTTGTTTCTGGGTTCTCTGTTCTGTCCCATTGACCTATGTGTCTGTTTTTATGCCAGTACCATGCTCTTTTTGTTACTATAGTTCTGTGATTCCTGCAGTGTTGTGATTCCTCCAGTTTTGTTCTTTTTGCTCAGATGGCTTTAGTTATTCTGGGTCTTTTGTGGTTCCATATGAAATTTAAGATTATTTTTTCTATTTCTTTAAAGAATATCCTCAGTATTTTCATAGGGATTGCATTGAATCTGTAGATTGCTTTAGGAAATATGGACATTTTATCAATATTGATTTTTCCAATCTATGAATATGGAATATCTTTTTATTTTTTGTGTCCTCTTCAATTTCTTGCATCAATGTCAAATAGTTTTCATTATAGAGATTTTTCACTTCTTTGGTTAAGTTTGTTCCTAGATATTTTATTTTATTTGTAATAATGTAAATGGAATTGCTTCCTTGATTTATTTTTCAGATTGTTTGCTGTTAGCATATAGAAATGCTACTGATTTTTGTATGTTGATTTGTACTCTGCCACTTTACTGAATTTGTTTTTCAGTTCTAATAGTTTTGTAGTGAAATCTTTAGGTTTTTGCAAATACAAGATTATATCATCTGCAAACAAGAAAAATTTGACTTTTTCCTTTCTTTGGGTGCCCTTTCTTTCTGTTGTCTGATTGCTCTAGCTAGGAATTTCAGTACTGTGTTGAATAACAGTTAAAGTGAGCTTCCTTGTCTCGTTCCAGAACTTAGAAGAAAGGCTTTCAGTTTTTCCCTGTTCAATATGATTCTAGCTGTGGGTCTGTCATATATGCCTTTTATTTTGTTGAGGTATGTCTCATCTATACCCAGTTGTTTTTTTTTTCCATTCTTAAAACTTTTATTCCATTTACATGAATTTAATACACGTGTTCTTAACAATTATGTTTGAATTGTTCATGAAAATTTCATAAGACATTAAACAAAGGTAGCCATCATCTCAAGTTATTTCCGTGTTAACTATTTTTACAGCACATGCATGTTAGGCAAGTATCAAAAAAAAAAATCACAAAAGCAAAAAACCTAAAAAAAAAGTTAAATACATGGGTTTTTGTTTTACTGCTGTGCTTGATATACATGAAGTAATGAATACCAAGCAATTCATTTTCCCTGCATCTTTACTTTTACATTTGTTCTTAGGTTGCCTAAGACATTTAAATACAAATAAAATGAGTGTAGCAAAAATAATGAAAGCTAACAGCAGGTAACTTTACAAATAATGGAATGTGAACCGTTTCTGCCCTTATCCAGAGTAAAATGGGTCACAGCTTTGTCTAAAGGAACACTTCTGCAGCTATAGTCAAGGGTATGCACATTGAGATTGAGTGTTCCACAGATATACATGGTTTAACATGTGGTATCTGTGGGATATCTGTTTCTACCACAGCCTTGTAAGTGCTCCAAACCTTAAAATACCCACAATTACTACACCTGTGACTGGAACCAATGATCCCTTTTAGTCCCCACCAGGACAAACCAATATGTAGGCAGTTTTCTTTGCTTAGACATGGAAGCAGTTTTAACACTGGCCCTTGTAAAGCCACAATGTACCAAAAGTACTATGCCAAACATTAATAACTTGTATAAAAATTCCACATCCCCATATTGGCCACCTCAAGATGAAAACAGATAACTCCCTAAATGTTAACTGGCTCTACTCCCCTAATATTAAACATAAAAACCACGTGGGAAATATAGAAATTCAAATAGAAGTAACATAAACCTGTCATAAATTGTAAACAACTATTTGTGGGACAGCATGGATGACAAATGGTCTACTGTGTAAATTTTAGAACGAGGCAGACAAAAGTTGGAAGGCCGGTTAATTTTCCCCTCCTTCTCCTGCTTCAGCTTTGTCTCCTCGGGTATCCGATGTCCACAATGTCAAGTTGTCTCTCAGTAATTGCATTATTAGTGTGCTGTCTTTGGATGACTCTTCACTTAATGTATCAAGTTCAGCAATGGCTTCATCAAAAGCTGTCTTTGCAAGAGAGCAGGCTTTCTCTGGGGAATTCAGAACGTCATAATAGAACACGGAGAAGTTAAGGGCCAGACCCAGTCTGATAGGATATGTTGGTTGCATTTCCTTTTTGCTGATTTCAAAAGCTTCTTGGTGTGCTTGTTGTGACTGATCCACAGTCCCTTTCTTATCATCACCAGCGGCAACCTCAGCCAAGTAATGGTAGTGATCTCCTTTCATTTTCAAATAGAAGAATTTGCTCTCGCTTGTGAAGCACTGGGGATCAAGAACTTTTCCAAAAGGGACAGTACATCATTGCAGCTATCTCTTAGCTAGGTCTCAGTTTTCTCTCTGTATTCTTGAGCCATCTGCTGTTTTTTTCTCAGCACCTTCTGTCTTTTGTTCAATACTTGAGACGATGCTCCAAGATGACCTACGGGCTCCTACAACATTTTTATAAGCAACTGAGAGAAGATTCCTCTCCTCATTGGATAATTAAGCTCCTTGCTCAGTTACAGACTTCATGCAGGCTGCCATATCATCATACCACTCAGCCTGCTCGGCCAGTTTGGCCTTCTGAACCAGCTCATTTTTATCCATTACTGGATGTTCCAGCAGTGGTCTCACCTTGTGTCGGCATGGCCTCGCCCCAGTCTACCTGGGGGGTGCTGCTGGGCCGGGCCTGGGCTCCGGCCCGCCTAGACCCAGTTTTTTAAGTTTTGTTTTTGTTTTTTTTTTTTTTTTAATCATGAAGGGATGTTGAATTTTATCAAATGCTTTTTCAGCATCAATTGAAATGATCATATGATTTTTGTCCTTCATTCTGTTGATATGATGTATCACATTGATTAATTTGCATATGTTGAAACATCCTTGCATCCCTAGGATGAATCCCACTTGATCATGATCTTTTTAACTGTTATTGAATTTAGTGTGCTAGTATTTTGTTAAAGATTTTTTGCATCAATGTTCATCAGACATATTGGCCTGTAGTTTTCTTTTTCTGATGTATCTTTGTCTGGTTTTGGTATCAGGATAATACTGGCCTTGTATTTTTTGGAATAGTCTGAGTAGGATTGGTATTAGTCCTTCTTTAAATGTTTGGTAAAATTCAGCAGTGAAGCCATTGGGTCCAGGGCTTTTCTTTGCTGGGAGACTTTTATTATGGCTTTGATCTCATTACTTGTTATTGGCCTACTCAGGTTTTGGGTTTCTTCATGATATAATCTAGGTAGGTTGTATGTATGTAGGAATTTATCTGCTTCTTCTAGGTTTTTCAATTTATTGGCATAGAGTTGCTTATAGTAGTCTGTAATGATCCTCAGAATTTCTACATTATGAGTTGTAATCTCTTTTTCCATCTCTGATTTTGTTTAGGTCTTCCCTCTTTTTTCCTGGTTAGTCTAACTAAAGGTTTGTCCATTTTGTTTATCTTTTAAAAAAACAATTTTTCATTTCATTGATTTTTTATATTGTTTTCATTTTTATTTATTTCTGCTTTGATCTTTATTACTTTTTTCTTCTAATTTTGAGTTTGGTTTGCCCTTTTCTAGGTTTTTAGATGCATCATTAGTTTGTTTATTTGAAGTTTTTTTTACT
This sequence comes from Homo sapiens, assembly GCF_000001405.40. Classification (NCBI taxonomy): domain Eukaryota; kingdom Metazoa; phylum Chordata; class Mammalia; order Primates; family Hominidae; genus Homo; species Homo sapiens. The sequence goes on from NC_000009.12 coordinate 34,923,921, forward strand.
TTTTTTGATGTAGGCACTTATTGCTATAAATTTTCCTCTTAGCACTGCTTTTAGATTATCCCATAGATTTTGGTATGTTGTTTCCATTATGGTTTGTTTTAAGAAAATTTGCAATTTCATTCTTAATCTCTCCATTGACCCACTAGTCATTCAAGAGCATATTGTTTAATTTCCATGTGCTTGTATAGTTTTTTAAATTCCTTTTATTATTTCTAGTTTTATTCCATTTTGGTCATAGAAGATACTTGATATTATTTCAGTTTTCCTGAAATTTTTAAGACTTCTTTTGTGGCCTAATATATGGGCTGTCCTTGAGAATGTTCCATGTGCTGAGGAGAAGAATGTGTATTCTGCAGCCATTGGATGAAATGTTCTGTAAATTTTGATTAGGTCCTTTTGTTTCTTTGTTGATCTTCTGTCTAGATAAACCTGTCCAAGTCTGAAAGTGGGGTGTTGAAGTCTCCAGCTATTATTGTATAAGGGTCTATCTCTCTAGCTGTAATAATATTTGCTTTATATATCTGGGTACTCCAGTGTTGGCTGCATATACATTAATACTTGTTACATACCCTTGCTGAATTGACCCCTTTTTCAACATATAATATGACCGTTTGTGTTTCTTTTTATGGTTTTTGTCTTGAAATGTATTTTAGCTGATATTAGTATAGCTACTCCTGCTCTTTTTTGGTTTCCATTTGCATGGATTATCTTTTTCCATTCCTTTATTTTCAGTCTATTTGTGTCTTTATAGGTGAAGTGTGTTTCTTGTAGGCAGCAGATAGTTGGGTTTGGTTTTTTATCCATTCAGTCACTCCATGTCTTTTGATTGGAGAGTTTAGTCCATTTACATTCAATGTTGTTATTGATAAGTAAGGACTGCTGCCATTTTGTTATTTGTTTTCTGGTTGTTTTGTATATCTTTTGTTCCTTACCACCTCTCTTATTGTTTATTTTTGCAGTTGGGTGGTTTTCTGTAGTGCTAAGCTTTGATTCCTTTCTCTTTCTTCTTTGTATATTGGCTCTACCTGTGAGTTTTATAGTTTCACATGTTTTCTTGATAATGGTAATCATCTTTTCAATTCCAGATGTAGGACTCCCTTGAGCATGTCTTGTAAGGCCTAGTGGTAATGAATTCCTTTCATTTTTGCTTGTCTATGAAAGATTTTATTTCTCCCTCATTTCTGAATAATAGCTTTGCTGGCTATAATATTCTTGACTAGCAGGATTTTTTTATTTCAGTATTTTGAATATATCATCCCATTCACTCCTCACTCACCTGGCTTGTAAGGCTTCTGCTGAGAAATCCGCTGTTAGTGGGGCCCCTTATATGTGACTTGACATTTTTTATTGCTGTTTTTAGAATTATTTGTCTTTGGCTTTTTACAATTTGACTATAATGTTCCTCAGAGAGAACCTGTTTGGGTTGAATCTACTTGCAATTCTTTGAGCTTCCTGGACTTAAACGTCTATTTCTCTTCCAAGACATGGGAAGTTTTCTGCTATTATTTCATTAAATATATTTTCCTCATCTTTCCCCTTCTCTTCTACTTCAGGAACACCCATAATACAAATACTTGTTTGCTTTATAGTGTGCCAAAAATTTAGTAGGCTTTCTTCTTTCTTCTGCTTGGTCTAGTCTATTATTGAAGTTGTGGATTGTATTTTTAATTTCATTCATTGACTTTTTTAGCTCTAGGATTTCTGTTTGACTCTTTTGTATGATATCTATCTCTTGTTGAAGTTCTTATTCAAATTATCAATTGTTTTCCTGATTTCATTGAATTGTCTATCTGTATTTTTCTTGTATCTCAATCCATTTCCTTAAGGTTGTTATTTTGAATTCTTTTTTCTGGAATTTCATCTACTTCCTCAAGATTGGGGCCTGTTACTAGAGAATTGTCTTTTTCCTTTAGAGGTGACATGTTTTCTTGCTTTGTCATGATTGTGTGTTCCTATGTTGATTTATATGCCTTTGGTGGAAAAATCACCTCTTCCAATTTTATGGAGTAGGTTTCATAAGAAAAGACTTGTTTATATGAATGGGACCTGGGGTGTTGGTTCATGGGGTGTACTGGCCTTGGTTTTAGGAAGATACAGTAGTGTAATGTAACCTCCATGTAGTTTCTTCAGCCATTATCCACACTAGTGGCATTTGGCCATTTCTCAGTGGCCTAGTCTGAAATAATTTGTGGCAATGGTGGTGCAACTTTGCCAGGGCTGGGTTCACTGGCCTGTTTCTCAGGTCAGAGGCATGTGTGTGCATATGGTGAGTTGGCCAACTTGGGATCTGGCTCACTGGGGCTGGGGCCATGGGGCTATTACTCTGTCCAGGAGCATGAGTTATTTGGCCACCCTGGGGACATGCCTGCCAGAAGTGGCTCACAGAGCTGTTTCTCGAAGGCCTAGGACATGGGTGTAAGGCTGCTCAGCTGACCTGGAGGAATGCCCACCAGAGAGGCCAGCAGGGCTGTCTCTTAGGCCTGGTATATGGGTGCATAGCTGCTTGGCTGGCCTAGGGATACACCTGATGGGGTGATTCATGGGACATTTTCTCAGGCCCAGGACACAGCTGCACAACTGCTTGACTGGCCTGGGGGTGTTTCTGCAGTGGGTGGCCCACAGGGTTGTTTTGTAGGTCTGAGATGTAAGCACAGGGCTATTTGATTGGCCTGCAGGTATGCCCACCAGAGGTGGCCTGTGGGGCTGTTTTTGGGGCCTGAGACATGGGTGCACACCTGCTGTGTTGGCGTAGGAGACAGGTCTGGGGGCAGGCACAGGGTTGTTGCTCAGGCTCATGACACAGCTTCGTGGCTGCTCAGTTGACCTGGGGATACTTCTGCTGGAGATGGCCCACAGGGCTGTTTCTTAGGCCTGGTATGCAGGCACATGGCTTCCTGGCCAGCCCAGGGCATGTTCACTAGTGGTGGCCCACAGAGCTGTTTCTCAAGTCCTGGATGTGGGCTCTTGGCTGCTTAGCTGGTTTGGGGTCGTGCCTACCGGGGGCAGCCTGAAGGAGTATTTCCCAGGTCTTTATGGGAAATGCAGGGCCATTAGGCAGGCCAGGGGCATGTCTGCAGAGGCAGGGGTGCTGTGGGGCTGTTTCTCCGGTCCTGAGCATGGGAGCATAGCCACTCCACTGGCCTGGGTGCATATTAGCTACTAGGAGGCTCAGGGGCCTCTCTCTCTTGTGGGAGGGTGCAGAGCAGTTTGGCCAGCTCAAGGCAGGTTGGCCCTGGGCAGGACTGGCAGACTGTTCATCTGGCTGGAAGTGCAGTAAGCAGGGGTTTGTTTTCTTGCTGTGCAGGACCAGAGTCACAGCTGATCCTAGGCCCAAGCTCTGTGCAGCTGACGTATGGCATTCAGCCAACCGTGTGGTGTGGGCTTGGCATAATGAGGATGGAGCGCCCCAGTGCTGGAGATATGCAGTGGCTACCGGCCCCCAGAACAGGGTGTGCTTCAGAGTTTGCTCTTTTCTCAAGATGGCATTATGCTGCAGCAGCTTGGCCCACAGGGAGTGGGATGGGGGGAATGGGGAGTGCACACCTTGCTCTCCTAATCTGGAGCAATGTAGCTGCTTGCATACCCAGCAGCTCTTCAAACTGGGCTCAGGGCTTGGGAAGACCGTAGGATTCTTCTGTAATAAGGACTGTAGGTTTTTGCAGTGCCAGTGGGGGCTGGTGGAGATCTTGTGCTTACCTTTTCCCTGCAATAAGAAGTCCTTCCTGACTCTGGGCACATCCAATCCAGGTGGGGGAGACAGGGCTATAGAGGCCCAGTGCTTCCTCGCTGCCCTCCTGGATTTCTGATCACCACAGGTGCATCTCCACTCCCCCACCACACTCCACCACTCTCCCTTCCACACTCCAGTCAAACCTTAGTTTGTTTATTCATTGTGTTGGGCCTTTCTTGTGGGATAGATGAATACCAGGCATCTCTATCCAGCCATCTTGCCAATGTCACTATTGAAGGATTTTAAGCAGAGGTGTGACTTCATGAAACTTATGTTTTAAAACATTAATGAGTTGGGAGCTGGGGGGAGGTGGGGATAGTTAATGGATATAGAAAAATAGCTAGAATTAATAAGATCTACCTTTGGACCTGCCTGGCCAACATGGTGAAACCTTGCCTCTACTAAAAATACAAAAATTAGCCAGGCATGGTGGAGAGTGCCTGTAATCCCAGCTACTTGGGAGGCTGAGACAGGAGAGTCGCTTGAACCCAGGAGGTGAAGGTTGCAGTAAGCTGAAATCACGCCATTGCACTCCAGCCTGGGCAACAAGAGTGAGACTCTGTCTCAAAAAAAAAAAAAAAAAAATCTACTCTTTGACGGCACAACAGGATGACTATAGCCAATAATAATTGTACATTTAAAAATAACTAAAAGAGTATAATTGGATTGTTTGTAACACAAAGGATAAATACTTAAGGGATAGATACCCCATTCTCCATGATGTGATTATTATGCATTGCTTGCCTGTATCAAAACATCTCATGTACCCCATAAATATATACACCTATATACCCACAAAAATTAAAAATTTTTTTAAAACCCACTAATGAGTCAACAAAGTTTATGCTTCTGCTTTGTGGCAAAAAAGACTCTCCTGAGCTAAACCTTTCCTATCAGGCCAGTCTTTTTTTCATTCTCCCTCCATCTTTTCATGTGTGATAGTCTCTTCCTGGTAAGCATTAATTCAAAGTTCAGCCCTTATAGAATTGTTCTTCCCCTCTCCCTTCTCCTATGGGAGCACAGTGTCTGTATAAGGGAAAGTTTACTGCTCTTCCCTGGGTACAGCTGGTCTATGTGTTGCCATTTTCTGCTGGACTCCAATTGAGATGTATCATCCAGCTTATCTCTAATCCATCCCTGTCCATTAACTTCTGTCCTAGAATCCACTTGGGATGGACAAACAAACACTACCACCAGAACTCTGGAAGCACCAAACTCCATTACTGCTCTCATCTCAGTAGTCCAGGAGTCCCTTGGTCTTGCAGTCCTCTTGGTACCCTGGGGCTACACAGGAACTTTTGAATCGCTTCTAGATACAGACCACTGGGAACCCAGCATGATTTCAGCAGCACTCCCTAGACACTTGCCTTCACAGATGCTGTGCTATAGCCCACTCTTCCCTCCCCCACCTCCATGTCAAACATAGAGCTTCTCTGAGGCTTGTACCCTGTCACCAAGATCAAAGGATCTCAGGTCACCCTTCTCCCTATCTGAATATTTCTATTGCATCATCCCACCTCCATACTCCCACTGTCAATGAAAAGTGCTTCTTTTTATTTCACCTCCTCTGGAGGGAGTTTCCCCTTTATCATATGCTCCTTTTGTTTGTTAGGTGGGGACCATTTTGATGGAATGGCAGCAGGGGAATATGATTGGATTTTTTAAATATGATTTGGGTTAGGGTGTCTGTGAAAAAAATCCACATCAATCTATTATCAAACTATTATCTCCATTTAAATTATTTGCTTATGGTCTGTCTCCACCAGAACAAACTCCACAAGGGTGGGACTCCCTTTTCTGTTCTCTTTACTGCTACATCTCCAGCACCTAGCACAGGGTCTATTACTCAATAAATATTTGTGGGGAAAAAAATGAAGGGATGAGATGAGCAAACTAATGAATGATGAGTGATCTTATTCTATTAGTACTGGGATCTGTTGAAGAATTTAGAGCAGAGGATTAAAGCAATCAGATTTGCAGGTAATCAAATATCGTTAAGCTGTGAGAGTCACCATAAGCAGCAATCTGTATTGTCGCCCCCTACAGCCCCGCCATGTAACAGCTATTAGCTCAAGCACACATACTGCCGTGGGAGAATTCACTGCTGCAAGTATTCAAATTTGTGATCAGCCTCCTGAGAAGAGTTGAAGAGAGATCACAAACCTAAGATGGCCTCCCCGACTCTTCATCCTCTTTTTTCCCCTACTGTTTCTCCCTAACACTGTGGTCCTTTAGTCCCCTGAAGAAGCTTTACATTGTAACCCTTTCAGAGAATTTCAGCGAGATCTGGATACCCAGCCCACTCTGCTATTATATTTGCATTTCATGCTTAATTTGTCTATAACATTACAACTTTTATACTCCTACATTTCTGCTGTTATAATCATAAAGAATACTATTTTGGGGCTTCTCTTTTGCAAGTGAAATTAGCATTTCCACGTAAAATAGAGAAGAAAAATTGTTGATCATCTCCCTAAAATGTCTGGGGCTTCATCCAAGCCTGAAGTTTAATTTCTCAGTGTCTGGGAGGAGCCACTGGTTTGTGCAGGTTTCTCAGTGTACTTAAGTGGTGCCGAGACTCATGCTTCGGGTCTCTTGTGTCGGGGATAACCTGGTTGACTCTTCCTTTGGTAAAAGAGAAGGAACGTGAGATAAGACATCCCATTTGGGTGTGTCTGAAATGATTTATCTCCTGAAATGGTTTACCATCTCTTGTTCCTTAACTTTATGGGATTTCTGACACAAGGGTAGAGTGCAGAAGCCTCTTCACTGAAGGAGGCACCCAGAATCCTGTGGGCCTGGTGTCCTAAATAAAGACAGTGCAGGACTTTGTGGCCAGTGCTCACCTCCAGAGCAGAATCAAGGGATATGTCCGGAAAGGGCTGGAAGGAAGCGAAGGAGCCCCAAATGCATTTTCACAAAGATCAGGGACATTTACTCCTGGTATTTATGAAGATTTCTAGCAATGGTATGACAATTCTTCTTCTCTTATGGAATCTTGCCATTAGGGAATTGATGTTTTTTAGAAGAACAAAGAAGCTAACAAACTTCTCAGATAGGGTCAGGGATGTGGAGAGGAACTAGCCCAGATTACCTTTTCAACATCTTTCAATATTATAACTCCAATTCTAATGTTAAAAAGCTAAATATTGTTCATAAACTTGTTTCAGTGTCTGAAGGGTGAGGAATAAATTGGGAAACTGCATCCCAGTTTGAAACATATGTAGGCGATATGGTCTGGATTTGTGTCCCGGCCCAAATCTCATGTCGAATTGTAATCCCCAATGTTGGAAGTGGAGCCTGGTGGGAGGTGATTGGATCATGGGGTGAAGTTCTCATGAATGGGTTAGCACCATCCCTTCAGTGCTGTTCTCCTGATGGTGAGTGAGTTTTCATGAGATGTGGTTGTTTAAAAGTGTGTGGCACCATAAGAATGGTATAATGAGGCCGAGCGCGGTGGCTCACGCCTGTAATCTCAGCACTTTGGGAGGCTGAGGCGGTGGATCACGAGGTCAGGAGATCCGGACCATCCTGGCTAACATGGTGAAACCCTGTCTCTACTAAAAATACAAAAAATTAGCCGGGCATGGTGGCGGGCTCCTGTAGTCCCAGCTACTCGGGAGGCTGAGGCAGGAGAATGGCATGAACCCGAGAGGCGGAGCTTGCAGTGAGCCGAGATAGTGCCACTGTACTCCAGCCTGGGCAACAGAGCAAGACTCTGTATCAAAAAAAAAAAAAAAAAAAGAATGGTATAATGAACTTGAGGATGCAGGGGGAAGGGTGGAAGGGGGTTGAGGGATAAAAGACTGCATATTAGGTACAGTACACTGCTCAGGTGATGGGTGCACCAAAATTTCAGATATCATCACTAAAGAACTCATCCATGTAACCAAAAATCACCTGTACTCCAAAAACTATTGAAATACAACAAAAATAAAAAATAAATAAAAAATTAAGAAGTGTGTGGCCCCTCCCCCTTCTTTCCCGGTCCTGCTGCGCAAGTGCTTGCTCCTGCTTTGCCTTCCACCATTACTAAAAGCTCCCTGAGGCCTCATGGGAAACAGAAGCCACCATGCTTCTTATACAGCCTGCAGAACTGTGAGCCAATTAAACCTCTTTTCTTTATAAACAACCCAGCCTCAGGTATTTCTTTATGGCAATGTGAGAATGGACTAACAAACACACTAGGCAAGAAGTCAGCCTGGGGAGATACTGGTGAAAGTGGGAAAAGAGGGCAAGAGGCTAAATCCTGAGCCTGTAGAATGTGAAATTAACTTGTTTCAGGGTTATATTGAAGGGACTTGGGCTTCCAGCTCAACCCATAAGCCTAAAAGAAAGAAAAGTGTAAGTCCTTATGGTGTGGGGTAAGGAGTGACTATTTTCCCATGAAATCACGGGAGGGTGAGAACACAACAGTGAGAACCTGGGGCTCCTCTCTATCTCCAGAAACTTCTCTCTGGTCTTCAGCCACCTGGCATCTCCTAGGGGCTTAATCCTGCTTCTGTCTATCATCTGTACCTGCTTTTTTCAACATAGCCAATATTCCCCTGGGCTAAGGGAGTTCAGAATGCTGTTTGCAACCCCAAGCCATGCCCAAATGTCAGGAAACTAAGCCCATTTTTTTCCCATGCTGAAGCAGCAAGAACTCCAGGGATGTGGTAAGAGATTCAAGCATGGAAAAGGGGGTTGAACTTTGATGTCTTCTAGCCCAGAGGTTCTGCAGAGGGCAAATGGGCAGACTCGCAGTAGCTGTCTTTCTCTAGGATCCTACTGTATGGGATACCAGGGGAAAGGATGTCATAATTACCTCTTAGTTACTTTTACCTATGATCTCACTAGCCTCACCTAACCACTGTTGAATATCCCATGGACTAGGTACCTGGCACAAAATAGATCCTCAGTAAATGTGTGCTGAATAAACTATATTTTAAAATGTGCCAAGGCAATTTTAAATGAATAAAATTAGTAATGAAATTATGGATAATTTTTCTATTTTTCCAAATTTCAGTATGGTGTTACTACTTGTATAATAGTCTTTTCCTTAAATATTTTACAATTAATAAGTATATTCTTAAAAATATGTAAGTATATACTTAAGTAATTTTATATAAAATTAATAGTTTATAAATATATTTTACCTGTCACTATAAAAAATACTATTTTATATAAAAATTCAGAAAAATTTTCTCCACATATTTTCTAAATGTACTGCAATCACTGAATCACTGCTTCTCTCTTCTCTATCACAACCTAACTCCACTAGAATGTGAGCCCCTCCAACATGATAATATGAGTCCCCTCCCCACAGTATAAGCTTCATGAGAGCAGGAACTCTTTTTTTTTTTTTTTTTTTTCAAAGAGACAGTGTCTTGATATGTTGCCCAGTCTGGCCTCAAACTCCTGGGCTCAACAGATCCTCCTGCCTCAGCCTCCCAAGTATATGATACTACATGCATGCCACCACGCCCTGCTAACGAACTCCTTTTATATTCACCACTATTTCCTTAGCTCCAAGAACAATGCCTGATAAGTAGTAGTCAATCAATAAATATTGCTGAACAAGTGAATAAACATGTGTATGCATCTTTATTCAAAGTCAGAAACATTAAAGCAATCAAGTAGAGGCAATGAGAATATATTACACAGATTTTCTTATGATATTAATAATGGCTAATATTTATTAAGCATTTATTAAGTAAACAAGCTGGGCACTATGCTAAGCACTGGCCATGTAAAAATTCTATGATATAGACTCACTCTATTATTAATTTTATTTCAAAAAACCTGGAGGAGGCTGGGCACAGTGGCTCATGCCTGTAATCCCAGCACTTTGGGAGGCCGAGGTGAGTGGATCACGAGGTGAGGAGATGGAGACCATCCTGGCTAACACGGTGAAACCCTGTCTCTACTAAAAATACAAAAAAATTAGCCTGGCATGGTGGTGGGCACCTGTAGTCCCAGCTACTCAGGAGGCTGAGACAGAAGAATGGCGTGAACCGGGGAGGCTGAGCTTGCAGTGAGCTGAGATCACGCCACTGCACTTCAGCCTGGGCAACAGAGTGAGACTCTGTCTCAAAAAAAAAAAAACAAAAACAAAAAAACATGGAGGCAACTGAAGTTAGAGTTTATTAATTTTTTTTTGAGACAGAGTCTCGCTCTGTCACCCAGGCTGGAGTGCAGTGGCATGATCTTGGCTCACTGCAACCTCTGCCTCCCAGGTTCAAGCTGGGATCACAGGTGGGTGCCACCACACCTGGCTAATTTTTGTACTTTTAGTAGAGACAGGGTTTTACTATGTTAGCCATGCTGGTCTCAAATTCCTGACCTCAAGTGATCCGCCTGCCTCAGCCTGAGATTATTACTGTTATTAGGTCCTTCCAGATGATATATTTTTTAATTTAGCAAAGCACTAAACCATCTTCACGAGTTATTCTTCATAGTAAAATTATTGAGTAAGACAATGTCCAAGTTCTCATTATATAGATTCTCAAAATCACACTGGGAGTAAGAGAGTTGCAGTGAGGATTTTGATTCCACAATTTCAGTGTGTGGCCACAGCCACTCAGATTCTTTCCAGAAGGCAGAAACAAACATGTAGTAACATTGCTTATGTCACAAGTCTATGGTGAGGGGGAGTTAATAAGTGATTACAAAATTCTTTGTAAATACAGAGTGCCGTACAAATGCAAAACATCTACAACAACAGTAATTAGTTCTAATCACTATCTCTATTCTGTGTGCAGCTGTCTCTCAAAATTCATTTTGGGAGTTTAATCACCCCATCGCAATAAATAAAGTAACCTCCCTCTTCCTCTGACCCTGCTGAGAGCTGTCCCTCATTCCTCCCAGCTGCTGAACATGCCTCCTGTGTACCCCCAGCCCCCCCTTCCTACTCTCAGCAAAGGCTGAATTCTGACATTAATTGGAAAAAAAACAGGACCTCCTGAGCCTTAAGCCTTTCGAAATCCCTGACTCTCAAACAAAATTGGGCACAAGACCTGGAGAAGTATACAGACCTTTCAAAATAGGACTCTGCCCTTCCCTTACACAGGAAGGGAACTTTTCCTTCCTTGGAGCTCCAGTAATGCTCAGGTAGCTATGGTGAAATACCAGGTTGACAAATTATCATTTATTTAGCAATGTAAGGCACATAATGGGTGCTGAATAATGTAGCAGTCATGACAATGATCAATTCAACATGTATATACTGTCTACAGCTTCTAGAGTAGTTGCAACAGAAACCATATGGCTCACAAAACCAAAAGTATTCTCTGGCCTTTTACAGAAGCAATTTACTCTCTGACCCTTTGTAGCAGTAGTTTGCCGACCCCTGAAAGGATGTGAATATAGATAAAGGAAAGGACTGAGCCCTGAGTCAACATTTAGAGATGAGAAATATAAGAAAAAGCAGGTCATGACACAGGCAGAAAACTAGAGGAATGTGGTGTCGCCAAAGCAAGTGAAGATTGTTTACTAAGGTAAGAGGGAATGATCAACTACGTTAATGGTACCTGGAGGACATGTAAGATGTGGATTGAGAACTGAATCCTGGATTTCATAACTTGAAGGCCACTGGGGACCTTTACAAGACCCTTCTCAGTGGAAGGGTAGGAATGAAAGTCTAATTGATGTGGTGGGTTCAAGAGAGAATGGAACCGGGCGCAGTGGCTCATGCCTGTAATCCCAGCACCCCAGCACTCTGGGAGGCTGAGGCAGGCAGATCACCTGAGGTCAGGAGTTCGAGGCCAGCCTGGCCAACATGATGAAACCTCATCTCAACTAAAAATACAAAAATTAGCCGGGCATGGTAGCACGTGCCTGTAGTCCCAGCTATTTGGAAGGCTGAGGCAGGAGAATTGCTTGAACTCGGGAGGCAGAGGTTGCAGTGAACCAAGACTGTGCCACTGCACTCCAGCCTGGGGGACAGAGCGAGACTTCATCTGAAAAAAAAAAAAAAAGAGAGAGAATGGGAAGAGAGGTGGTGGTGGAGACAGCTACATAGGAAAGAGTTTCACTGGAAAGGATAACAGAGAAAAGAGCCATAAATTAAAAAGGGTTGTGGAATAAAGGAGTGTATTTGTGTGTGGGGGGGGGGTGTGTGTGTGTGTGTGTCAACAGTATCTCACAACATATTTGTGTACTGATGAGAATGCGAAAATTATCCAGTACAGATAAGAATGATGATGACAATGAAGACAGATGAGGACAAAGAGGAGGGAAAAAAGAGGTTAAATTGGGATACAGATACACTGTGGAAGCTGCAGCCCTACTGGTAAGGGATAGAGTTTCAGCAGTGGGGTGAAGTGATTCCCGTGCCAAGTATCTAGGGTGAATAAGAGTCCTCAAAAAAAAAAAATTGAGTCTCCCTCTCCCTCTCCCGCTCCCGCTCCCGCTCCCACCCCCTCTCCCTCTCCCTCTCCCCACGGTCTCCCTCTCCCTCTCTTTCCACGGTCTCCCTCTGATGCCGAGCCGAAGCTGGACTGTACTGCCGCCATCTCGGCTCACTGCAACCTCCCTGCCTGATTCTCCTGCCTCAGCCTGCCGAGTGCCTGCCATTGCAGGCGCGCGCCGCCACGCCTGACTGGTTTTCGTATTTTTTTGGTGGAGACGGGGTTTCGCTGTGTTCGCCGGGCTGGTCTCCAGCTCCTAACCGCGAGTGATCCGCCAGCCTCGGCCTCCGGAGGTGCCGGGATTGCAGACGGAGTCTCGTTCACTCAGTGCTCAATGGTGCCCAGGCTGGAATGCAGTGGCGTGATCTCGGCTCGCTACAACCTCCACCTCTCAGCCGCCTGCCTTGGCCTCCCAAAATGCCGAGATTGCAGCCTCTGCCCGGCCGCCACCCCGTCTGGGAAGTGAGGAGCGTCTCTGCCTGGCCGCCCATCGTCTGGGATGTGAGGAGCCCCTCTGCCTGGCTGCCCAGTCTGGAAAGTGAGGAGCGTCTCTGCCCTGCCGCCATCCCATCTAGGAAGTGAGGAGCGCCTCTTCCCGGCCGCCATCCCATCTAGGAAGTGAGGAGCGTCTCTGCCCGGCCACCCATCGTCTGAGATGTGGGGAGCGCCTCTGCCCCACCGCCCCGTCTGGGATGTGAGGAGCACCTCTGCCCGGCCGCGACCCCGTCTGGGAGGTGAGGACCGTCTCTGCCCAGCCGCCCCGTCTGAGAAGTGAGGAGACCCTCTGCCTGGCAACCGCCCCGTCTGATAAGTGAGGAGCCCCTCCGCCCGGCAGCCGCCCCGTCTGAGAAGTGAGGAGCCCCTCTGCCCGGCAGCCACCCCGTCTGGGAAGTGAGGAGCGTCTCCACCCGGCAGCCACCCCGTCCGGGAGGGAGGTGGGGGTCAGCCCCCGCCAGGCCAGCCGCCCCGTCCGGGAGGGAGGTGGGGGGGTCAGCCCCCCCCCCGGGCCAGCCGCCCCGTCCGGGAGGTGAGGGGCGCCTCTGCCCCGGCCGCCCCTACTGGGAAGTGAGGAGCCCCTCTGCCCGGCCACCACCCCGTCTGGGAGGCGTACCCAACAGCTCATTGAGAACGGGCCATGATGATAATGGCGGTTTTGTGGAATAGAAAGGGGGAAAGGTGGGGAAAAGATTGAGAAATCGGATGGTTGCCGTGTCTGTGTAGAAAGCGGTAGACATGGGAGACTTTTCATTTTGTTCTGTACTAAGAAAAATTGTTCTGTCTTGGGATCCTGTTGATCTGTGACCTTACCCCCAACCCTGTGCTCTCTGAAACATGTGCTGTGTCCACTCAGGGTTGAATGGATTAAGGGCGGTGCAAGATGTGCTTTGTTAAACAGATGCTTGAAGGCAGCAGGCTCGTTAAGAGTCATCACCATTCCCTAATCTCAAGTACCCAGGGACACAAACACTGCGGAAGGCCGCAGGGTCCTCTGCCTAGGAAAACCAGAGACCTTTGTTCACTTGTTTATCTGCTAACCCTCCCTCCACTATTGTCCTGTGACCCTGCCAAATCCCCCTCTGCGAGAAACACCCAAGAATGATCAATTTAAAAAAAAAAATGAAAATCACAACAACAAGGCAGAAAGCTGTCTGGCCTCGCTTGATGTAAAAGGTAATGGTTTTCACCTACTGGAGGCCAACCAAGGGCCAGGAAGGGAAGAACCTGGCTAGCCCTGCGCAGAGATGGAAAGGATCATGAAGATTCTGAAAATAAAGCTCTGACTTCCAAGTCATGTTGTCTGAAATAGATTCATGGTTCTCTAGATTAGTTTCCCTTTTGTTATCCTTTACTAATATCTCAATCAGATATTCCATATTTTTATAGGGAATCTAACAAAAGCCCTGTGTCCACGTGAGAATCAGAGTGTTGAAGGAACAGTGTTTTCTTGAGGCCAGTGTGGTGAGGGAAACTGATCAGAAAAAGATGGATGAATTCCACAGGCACAGAGCCCGGGCCACAAAGTGGAGACAGCCCTTGATTTTCATTCCAGTGTGTTAACCTTAGAAATTTTGTGTTTTGTTTAATGAAGAAGAGGAAGCCTTACAAAATCATAGAGGATTTTGCTTGAAGAAGGCACATGTTCTAGCATATGGTCTCTTATAAAACAGAACTTTCAAGGTTTAACTCTTCCAGGAGACTCCCCAGGCAGTGAGGGGAAGTTCAGCAAAGCAGCCCCAACTCTGTTCCCTGAGTTTCTCCTTCCCTTGTTACCTCAAGAACTGAGGCCCACCCCAGGAATACAAAGTTCTTTCTTTCACGTTATGTTACAAATGTAGTCAAAAACTCCTCTTGCCTTTGCAGGGCAGAGACAGACTAGAATATTCAAAAGCCTTTCCGGGAGAGTAAGGGAAAATGAAGCAAACAGAAACTGCAGAGGCAGGAAAACAGGAAATTGAGATCTAGGCACATGGTTATATCGCCAGGATTATCTGGATTTAAATCATAGCTCTGACACTTACTGGCGATATAACCCTGTGCAAGTTACTGAACTTCCCTGAAACATAGTTTCCTCATCTATAAAATGGGTTAAAAAAGCCATGAGCCTGTTGCTGGGCGCAGTGGCTCACGCCTGTAATCCCAGCACTTTGGGAGGCCGAGGCCGGCGGATCACGAGGACAGGAGATCAAGACCATCCTGGCTAACGCGGTGAAACCCCATCTCTACTAAAAATACAAAAAAAAAAAAAATTAGTCAGGCGTGGTGGCGGGCGCCTGTAGTCCCAGCTACCTGGGAGGCTGAGGCAGGAGAATGGCATGAACCCAAGAGGCGGAGCTTGCAGTGAGCTGAGATTGTGCCACCGCACTCCAGCCTGGGCGACAGAGCGAGACTCCATCAAAAAAAAAAAAAAAAAAAAGCCATGAGCGTGATTTATTTAAAAAAAAATAATATAATAAAATTGGCCAGGTGCAGTGCCTTTCACCTGTAATCCCAGCACTTTGGGAGGCCAAGGCAGGTGGATCACGTGAAGCCAGGAGTTCAAGACCAGCCTGACCAACATGGAGAAACCGCATCTCTACTAAAAATACAAAACTCACCGGCCGTGGTGGCGCATGCCTGTAATCCCAGCTACTCGGGAGGCTGAGACAGAGAATTGCTTGAACCCAGGAGGTGGAGGTTGCAGTGAGCCAAGATCGTGCCATTGCACTCTAGCCTGGGCAACAAGAGCGAAACTCCATCTCAAATAATAATAATAATAAAATAATGGGTAAATTTATACCTATGTGTCTTAGTTTAGGTCCTCCAAGAAGTAGATGCCAAGAATCGGTGTAGACTTGCAGGATATTGGGGGAAATGCCTGCAAAAGGTAATTGGGAGGAAGCAGGAGGATGCTGAGGGAGCTGTCAGAGAGAGATGCACACCTGACCCCTGAGAAGGAGAGGAGGAAAGAAGAAAGGTTGGATAGGTCAGGCCTTAGGGTGCCACGTAGAATTCTCAGGCCAGAGTTGTCTGTCAGAGGAGTCCTATGTTTCATAAGAATGGACCTGCCATAATATCCCTGCCATGTGCCATCACTGGCTGGAAGCAGACCATGAGAAGCATGGCCTCAGAGCAAATGTAGTGATGTGTTTAGAACACAGCACCAGCCAATTGTATTCCCTACAGTAGGAGATTGGAGAGGCACATTCTCATGGTCCCACACATCTACTTCTACTCAGGGGACTGAGGAGCAGCTCCTCTATGGTTCCCACAGACCCTTCTTCCTAAAGGTAAACTTAGAAGGGCCAGGTTAGTGGAACATCACTACTGTTGATATCAGGCCTACAACTGGTACACATACTCTCCCTTCTCCATTCTAAATTCCCCTCACTGTTGAGGTGGGGTGTGACAGAGCAGGAGCACTGTCATCTCAGACAAATACCGCCACTTTAAGTTCCAGCTCCCTTTCTAGCCTCATACATTTCAAGGAAATCACTTCTCTTCTAACTACAAGCAGCCAGAAAGAGCAGACAGTAAAACACAGATAAGACAGCTCAGGCACAGAGGGAGGTGGGGGGAAAGTCTCTTGGGTAACTGCCAAACTTCACCCTTATACAATGGGCCCCAGTGAAACAGTGGGCCTTAATAAGCACATTCCTTTCCTTGCACTAAGATAGGGGAGCTAAAAGCAGACTTTGAGGGTATGCCTGCAGCTGCAGAAAGATGGGAGGGAAGAGACACACAATTCTCCCTCCCAGATAAGCACAACAAAGACACACAGAAGCAGTCCAAGCCTCTGATAAACTCTCCCACCCTGAATCCTGTAAGAGAGTGTGCCTCTGACCTAACTTGGCTAGAATGCTCCTCTCAGGTTTGTTTTCTCTAAAAAAAAAAAAAACCTGTCTTGACTGGTGAGCCACCTTTGGTGTTTCTTTCCTCTTTCTTTAATTCTTACAGGGTGTGGTGGCTCACACCTATAATCCCAATACTTAGGGAGACTGAGTCAGAAAGATCAGTTGAGGCCAGGAGTTTTAAGACCAGGCCAGCAACATAGTGAGACCCCATCTCTCCGAAAAAATAAAATAAGTTCCCTCTTTGTTATCTATAACCTTGGCAGGTCTTGGTGGCTTACCTGCCACCAAGGTGTGACCCAGCCTTCACTCCTGAAGAGTCTGGTAATCATGCCGTTGGTAATCACATCCTTCTCCAGCTGGAGTTGTGTAAGTGTCCATTTGAGAAGGCAAGGGAATACCAGGAGGTGTCCAACTGTGTCACTTAGATTTCACACATATTCCCTTCCTGTTCCCACTGTGTAAAAGCAGCCTTTCCTCCTTCTGCTGATCATGGTTAATTACCTCTGCCAATATGGTGACTCCTTTTCTCTCAGACTGGTTCCTAAACACAAGGAGCCTGAAATGCCTTGGTGGGAGGCATAGCTTATAGTTCGGTGGGACTCTTGACTGTATCTTTTGGCAAGAGTGCACCTTCTTTGGAGACCAGGACACCTCCAATTTTGCAGAGCTCAGAGTTGCATGGATATGAAATACAAAATCCCCCAGTGGGTCATTAGGAGTAAGGGTAAGTGGGGTTACTCCTGCTTGTACCCTTGGTTCCTAGACGCATGTATTCTTCCTCCTGGGGACCTAGCACAATATAAAGGTCTCTGTCTATATACTGCATCCTAAAGGATGGTGCCCCATCCTTTCAGAATGTTGCCACCAAGCTGGCAC
Source organism: Homo sapiens (assembly GCF_000001405.40). Taxonomy (NCBI): domain Eukaryota; kingdom Metazoa; phylum Chordata; class Mammalia; order Primates; family Hominidae; genus Homo; species Homo sapiens. The sequence continues at coordinate 34,941,248 of NC_000009.12, forward strand.
TTTAGCTGTGCCTTTAAATGGCTGGTCTAGCATTTTCTGAGACCATCTGCCCCTGGATGATGCTATGTGTGATGTGGCCAGTAGACAATATGATCATAGGTCAACTCCACACTTCCTTCACTGGGAAGTGGGTCTCATGTCTGGATGCTAATGCTCTGTGGGATTGTATGCTTGTGGAGCAGGCATTCCATAAGCCCCTGAATAGTGATGCTGGCTAAGGCATGAATGGTAGCAAAGACAAACCCATACCCAGAATAAGTCATTTGTCCTTCTAAGGATGAACCACTGGCCCTTTGTCTCAGTCTGTTCAGGCTGCTATAGCAAAATATCATAAAATGGGTACCTTATAAACAACAGAAATTTATTTCTTACAGTTCTGGAGGCTGGGAAGACCAAGATCAAGGCACTGGCAGATTCAGTGTCTGGTGAGGACCCTATTTTTCCATAGACAGATGTCTTCTCACTGTAACCTTACATGGTGGACGCCTTCCACCATGCTCTCTGCCAAACAAGCTCCCTTGGGCCCCTTTTATAAGGACATTAATCCCATTCATTTCTACCCTCATGATCTAATCACTTCCCAAAGGCTTCACCTATTAATACCATCACCTTGGGGGTTAGGATTTCAAAATTTTGAAGGGACACAAACAGTCAGACCATAGCACCCTTCCAGTATGAGAGATGCCCAATGTAGTTGACTTGTCACTAAGTGGCTGGTTGGTCTCAAGGAATAGTGCCACATCAAGGGCACACCATTGGTCTCTATTGCTGATAGCTTAAACATTCAGAAGCAGCAGTAGCCAGACTTCCAAGGCCTGCATTGTGATTCCTTCTTGGGAGCTTAACATAACCTTCATACTGCATCTTTTCCTACCACTGACATTTCCAACACCTTAGGGTCCTCCAAATCCTACTGGCAGGACAGCTCGCACCACAGCCTAAACCTACTGCAGAACCCTTTTCTTTTCCAGGTCCCATTGAAAGCTGGCAGCCTTCCATGTTGGGACAGAGCAATGTTCCTAGGTGTAGAATGTGTTGCTTCCAGATCCCAAAGAAGTCTGCTGGCACTGTACTTCCATCTTTATGGTAGGGGATACATGAGGTGCAATTCATTTTTTACTTTGGAAAGATATGCCAACAAACTTCTAATGATCCCTAAAAATTTCACTGAAGTTGTAGGTTCCTAAATCTTTTAGGGTGTCTCCCACCCTCTAGAGCACATCAGCATGCTATCAATGAAATGGATTAGTGTGATGGTTCTGCAAAATACACAGGTAGTCCAGATCTCATCAAATTATATTATGACAGAGGGCAGGGGCATTAACATAACCCTGAGGGCAAATTGTAAATGAATATTTTTGGCCATCCCATATGAATATAAACTGTTTCTGATCCTCTTTACTGATTGGAATTGAAAAGAATGCCTTTGTCGATGAGTTCATGTCCTTTACAGGGACATGGATGAAGCTGGAAACCATCATTCTGAGCAAACTATCACAAGGACAGAAAACCAGACATGGCATGTTCTCACTCATAGGTGGGAATTGACAGTAAGAACACTTGGACCAAAGGCGGGGAACATCACACACGGGAGCCTGTCATGGGATGGGGGGCAGGGGGGAGGCATAGCATTAGGAGAAATACCTAATGTAAATGACGAGTTAATGGGTGCAGCAAACCAACATGGTACATGTATACCTATGTAATAAACCTGCACATTGTGCACTTGTACCCTAGAACTTAAAGTATAATAATAAAAAAAGAAAGAAAAGAATGCCTTTGTCAGTTCACTGGCCATATACCATGTACCTGAACACTCATCAATCTGCTGTAGCAATTAACCCATATCTGGCACAGTAGCTGTGATTGAGGCTACTGCTTGTTTAAGCCTGCAGCAGCCTTCAGTCATTCCCCAGGACCCACCCAGGGATGTGGTACTGTTTTTTTGTTTGTTTGTTTGTTTCTCTGAGTCCGCTTGCTAGGGAAGATATTGTTTGTTTACTCTCTTGGCTGGGAGAGGAGGGAAGGTGAGGGAACAGTTTCAAGGTTTCTACTTGGCCTTTCTCACTATTACATCTTTTACCTCACAGGCTAAGAACCCAATATGAGGGTTACTCTAATATCTAAGTATACCAGTGCAGTCAGGAACAGGAAAAAATGACCACTGGGTGCATCCACAAACTAAGCAGGTCCACTCTGAGCCAGATTTTAGCCAGGACTTCATTTATTAGTTGGTCTCTGTAGACCTCGTATTCTATTAGAACCATGAGGATGTTTTGGGCCTCTAAGTATCAATATCAACTCAGACTGTGTATCCAGTAGTCCTCCAAATGTCTAGGTATTTTCCCTTCCTTGGTTTATAATCACCCAAGTAAACAGCCCCAGGTCCTTTTCAGGAAAAAAAAACTAGGGGATTCATCACAGTATATATTGGTCCTGGTGTTGCTACCTACTTTTCTCCCAGAGAATTATGCTCTATTACCATCTCTACAACTCCCTCAAGCTGAAGCTCCTTGGCTGTCCCTCAGACCTTGAAGGTTGTTACAATTATTATAGCCTCTATTACATTGAAGCTCATTAGTCCCATGGATATCAATGAGCCCAGCTCTGTAACCACCTCTCCTACTATCAGCCCCTGAACTGCAGAGGGGAGCCACCACTGTGGTGCTAGTGCTGCTTTCAGCAGTATTTTCCTGATGGCCTGGGTGAACTATATGTCTTCTGAGCTCTGCCATAAGACATAATCAACTGGTATGTTTTGTAGCCTGCATAATATAGCTATTCTTGCTTGCTCACTTTCCTCAGCCTCTTTATTTCTTCTACCATCTGTCAGAATAGCTAAAGCATTTCTACTTCACTCAACATTGGCCATCACTTTCTTCAAGTCTCTAAGAACCACCCTATTCTCTAGGGTTCTTGCCAGGGTGTTAAATCCTGTGTTCCAAAAAATTGTTCACAATCAAAGCATGATGTAGGCTGATAAAAAGAAAAAAATGTTCACAAGTCATTATCCAGTCTTATATTCTAGCCTGCTTGATGAAGCACCCTCAAAATACAATCCCAGGTATATCACCTAGCTTCTGCCAATATGTGATAGCTAATTCTTTTAGTTCCTTCAGTGTATAACATTTTGTCTCCCTTATCAGGTCTATCACTTCCTGGCCAGGTTGTGCTGGTATTTAACCCTAAGTTTTTGGCCTAACAGCCAGGAGAAGGGGTAGAGCCCCTGAGAGGGCCAGCTGTTGCCTTATGAGAGAAGGGACTCTGCAACATCTATCAATACACAAATGCCAGCTCTTACTAGAGAAGAGTAGACCACTTCTGCAGTCTTAGGGTTCAGAGGGTCTTTACAGCCAACATCTTCAAAGCATTCATCCAGATGTCTGTATGCCATATGCCAGGGCCCCAAGTTTTTCCAACCAGGACCATGACTGTAGCATAATAGACCTGCCTTGCCTGCTTATTTAAATGTCTCTGGATTAGCCAGGCATGGTGGCACATGCCTGTAATCCCAGCTGTTTGGGAACCTGAAGTGGGAGGATTGCTTGAGTCCAGGAGTTTGAGACTACAATGTGCTATGATTGTGCCTGTGGATAGCCACTGCACTTCAGCCTGGGAAACATAATGAGAACTTGTCTCTTTAAAAAAAAAAAAAAAAGGAAAAAAAGAAAGAGAAATCTAAAAAATCAAAAATAAAATAAATTCTCTGGACCTCTTAACTGTTAATCGTCCTCTGATTCTCATTATCCCTCTGCAAAGCATCAATTCAGCTTAGTAGTAGCCAGCCAACTCCACTGTCTTTGTATGCACTGTTCCCCCCATGTCTTCCAAATGACAGAATCATTGTACCAGCAAAGGCAATCCTTTCAATCAGAGAGTTTTCCCAGGTAACCTCTAGTGAAATCTTTAGCACCTGTACCACCACTGCATGCCAGGGACTATCCAAGTACCACCCAAGAGGGAGTAATCTCTGGTTACTAGACAATGGGTGAACTATACCCGGAACTCCATCTTATACCTATTTTCTTGGACCATGTGTGTTGGTTAGGTCATCAAATGGGAAGATGTCAAGATGAGATTAGATACACAAGAGCTTTGGAAGGGGTGAGGGAGGGTGAATTCCTGTGAGGGAAAATAGAGGGAATCAGAGAAGGCTGGGAGAGCTATCAGAACACGACATAGGTCCGAGTCCTGTGTAGGTGAGACAGAAAGAAAGAAGGTTAGTGTGGAAGAGCCTTACACTGCTGCTATGGTATGAATGTCCCTTCCAAAACCCATGTCGAATTTAATTGCCATTGTGACGGTATTAGGAGGTGGGATCTTTAAGGGGTCTGCCCTCATGAATAGACTAATTCTGTTGTCTCGGGAGTGGATTCACTGTCATAGGAGTGGGTTCTTGATAAAATGATGTTTGGTCCCACCCTTCCTCCCTCTGTCTCCTGTACTCACTTGCCCTTCCACCATGTTATAACACAGCACAAAGGCCCTTGTTTGATGCCAGTGCCATGCTCTTCTTAAACTTCCCAACCTTCAGAATCATGAGCTAAATACACTTATTTTCTTTATAAATTACCCAGTCTGTGGTATTTTGTTACAGCAGCAGAAAATAGACTAAGAAAACTGCCATGCTGTTTTAAGAAAATTTCAGCAAGGCCAATGGGAATTCCTCAAGCCAAAGTAGCCTGTCAAAGGAGTCCTACATCTTGTCAGAATAAGCCTGCCTTAGTACCCTGCTGCAATCACTTGTTGGCTGAGAACAGTCGATGGAAAGTGTGGCCTTTAGTGCAAATGCAGTTGATTCGGAGTGCAGCAGCTAGGGTTGCCAGTACTATGCTCTGCAGTAGGAGATAGGAAAGGCATATTCTTTATGGTCACCACAACACCTTGCAGGATTATTTGGAGGATTAAATAAAATAATATAATCTATGTAAAATGTTTAACTATACTTAACACATAGCAGGCACTTAACACATGCATTCTGTTAGTTGTTGGTGTTATTATTAATGGTAGGTGGTTCCTAACTGCCTCATTGAGAAGACAATATCTTGTCTATTTAGAAGCTACCTCCTTAATGTCTTGACACCTTCATGGTCAAGTCTGATAGAAACAGATTCTTTCTATTCTGTTCAACAAGAGTTTCAACTTCTGGCATGTAAGACAGGGTTTTTTTCTAAGTGATTGACACTATTTCTCTTGTAAGTTTCCATATCCATTTCCAAACCCATTTGAAGATGTGACTTTGCTGTTTTACAGGTTTATAGGCACAATTTTAGATTAATCTAATTAAAGCCAATATATTATAGATCGAGATTTCTAGTTCTACATGGGGTGATTATTTGACAATATGTGAAAGTACTTTACAAAGTATACAAAAATTAGATAAATGCTGACATAATTTTTATGATAATGATGATGAAGTTGGTGTTTTAAGAAGTTGCATACAGCTACAGACTACCCAGGGATTGGTCTTACAAAGAGAAGGCAGGAAGGACAATTTGGAATTTATTGACACAAGCAGGTGCAAGGTCACAAAGATCCAGACCAGGGTGATGAAATTTGGGAGAAGAAGATGAGAAACATTTAAATGGAAAAATCATCAGAAATTTGTAATTAATTTGCTCTGATGAATAAGAAAGGGAAATGAAACAAAAAGAAATCAAAAGTTCCCAGGTCCTAAGAAAAAAGGGTGGTTCAGTTGAGAGGGTAGAATGGACATCTGTTTTTAAAATCTGCCCCTCAATTCTTTTCTCCTCTTCTTCTACCAACAGCAACCCTCGCCTTTAGAGAACTTTCCCCACTCTGCTCCATGTGGTTCTCATTCAGCTGCCAATTATAGTATTGTACTTCCTTGTCACAGGGTGAGCTTGAGACTCGGACCTAGCCAATTATAGAGTCCCATCCTTCTAGCCACAGTGGTTGTCCCAGTAATGGGCATATGACAAGTAATTTCAACAAGTGACCTTCCTTTAGATTTTATTTACAGCTATGTGCTGCATAAATGATGTTTTGGTCAGTGGTGGACGAAATATACAAAAATGGTCCCATAAAATTATAATGAAGCTGAAAAATTCCTATCACCTAGTGACACTATAGCCACTGTAAGTCACAGCGCAGCACATTACTCACGTGGTGGTGGTGATGCTGGTGTAAACAAACCCACTGTGCTGCCGGTTATATAAAACTATAGCACCTACAATTATATACAGTACATAATACTTGCTAGTGATAATAAATGACTGTTACTGGTTTATGTATATAAATGCTGACATACTTTTTATCTTTATTTTAGAGTGCACTCTTTCTACTTATTTAAAAAAAATAGTTAACTGTAGGACAGCCTCAGCAAGGTCCTTCAGGACGTATTCCAGAAGAAGGCATTGTTGTCATGGGAGATGACAGCTCCAGGCCTGTTATTGCCTCTGAAGGCCTTCCAGTGAGACAAGATATGAAGGTGGAAGGCAGTGATATTAATGATCCTGACTCTGTGTAGGCCTAGGCTAATGCGTGCGTGTTCGTGTCTTCATTTTTAAGAAAAAAGTTTAAAAAGTTAAATAAACATGTTAAAAATAAGAAAAAGTTGGCTGGGCGCGGTGGCTCACACCTGTAATCCCAGCACTTTGGGAGGCCGAGGCAGGCAGATCACGAGGTCAGGAGATTGAGACCATCCTGACTAACACGGTAAAACCCCGTCTCTACTAAAAATACAAAAAAATTAGCCGGGCATGGTGGCAGGTGCCTGTAGTCCCAGCTACTCGGGAGGCTGAGGCAGGAGAATGGCGTGAACCCGGGGGGCGGAGCTTGCAGTGAGCCGAGATCGCACCACTGCACTCCAGCCTGGGTGACAAGAGCGAGACTCCGTCTCAAAAAAAAAAAAAAGAAAAGAAAAATAGGAAAAAGTTTATAGAGTAAGGATATAAGGAAAGAAAACATTTTTGTACAGCTGTACAATGTGTGTTTCAAGCTAAATGTTATTACAAGAGTAAAGAAGTTTTTTAAAAATTGAAAAGTGTATAAAGTTAAAAAGTTACAGTAAGCTAAGGATAATTTTTTTTGAAGAAAGAAAAACATTAAAAATGTAGTATAGCCTAAGTGTACAGTGTTTATAAAGTCTACAGTCATGTGCAGTAATTTCCTAGGCCTTCACATTCACTCACCACCCACTCACTGACACCCAGAGCAATTTCCAGTCCTGCAAGCTCCATTCATGGTAAGTGCCCTATACAGGTGGACCACTTTTTATCTCTTATACCATATTTTTATTGTACCTTTTATATGGTTAGATAGGTTTAGATACACAAATACCATTGTGCTACAAATGCCTGCAGTATTCAGTACACTAATATGGTATACAGGTTTAAGCCTAGGAGGAATAGACTATGACACATAGCCTAGGTGTGTAGTGGGCTATATCACCTAGGTTTGTGTAGGTACACTTTATGATATTTGCACAATGATGAAATTACCTAACAACACGTTTCTCAGAACCTATCCCCATGTTAAGCAACACACGACTGTATTTCACAGTCTGAAAAAATCCAAACTCTCAAGCATTTCAGATAAGGGATACTCAACTTGTATAGATAGATTAAAAGTTAAAATATGAGAAAATACATAGCATGGCAACTCAAAGCTAGACCGACTATATTAACATTAGACAAAGTAGACTTCAGAACAAGAACTATTACCAGGAGTAAAGAGCCACATTATATAATGATAAGCGGGTTGATTCCCAAAGGTAGCATCACAATCCAAAGGTATATGCACATAATAACAGATGCTAAAGCATAAACTAGTATTACTAAAAGTCAAATCCACAAGTATACTGGAAGATTTAAACACTCCTCTCTCTGTAATCAATAGAACAAGTATATAGAAAATCAGTAAGGATACAGAAGACCTGAATGACACTATCAACCCATTTGACCTAACTGCCTAATTTAAAGAGCACTCCATCCAACAAAATTATTTTCAAGTGCACGTGGAATATTCACAAAAATAAACCATATTTCTAGGTGATAAATAGAGAAATGCAAATCAAAACCACCGTGAAATACCATCTCACGCCAGTTAGATTGGTGATCTTTAAAAAGTCTGGAAACAACAGATGCTGGCGAGGATGTGGATAAATAGGAATGCTTTTACACTGTTGGTGGGAGTGTAAATTAGTTCAGCCACTGTGGAAGACAGTGTGCTGATTCCTCAAGGATGTAGAACCAGAAATGCCCGTTTGACCCAGCAATCCCATTGCTGGGTATATATCCAAAGGATTATAAATCATTCTACTATAAAGACACATGCAGATGTATGTTCACTGCAGCACTATTTACAATAGCAAAGACTTGGAACCAACCCAAATGCCCATCAGTGATAGACTGGATAAAGAAAATGTGGCACATATACACCATGGAATACTATGAAGCCATAAAAAAGAATGAGTTCGTGTCCTTTGCAGGGACATGGATGAAGCTGGAAACCATCATCCTCAGCAAACTAACACAGGAACAGAAAACCAAACACCGCATGTTCTCACTCATAAGTGGGAGCTGAACAATGAGAACACATGGACACAAGGAGGGGAACATTACACACCAGGGCCTCTCGGGGGTAGGGGGAAAGGGGTGGGAGAGCATTAGGACAAATACCTAATGCATGCGGAGCTTAAAACCTAGATGATGGGTTGATAGGTGCAGCAAACCTTCATGGCACATGTATACCTACGTAACAAACCTGCATGTTCAGCACATGTATCCCAGTACTTAGAGTAAAAAAAAAGAAAGAAAGAAATCATAAGCCAGTTATGGTTAAAAATAATAATAACCACATGAAAAATAAAATTTATATAATTATATTAAAAAAAGAATTGACTGGTGACGGGTGGATCACTTGAGGTCAGGAGTTCGAGACCAGCTTGGTCACATGGTGAAACCCCGTCTCTACTAAAAATACAAAAATTAGCTGGGCATGGGGGTGCACTGCTGTAGTCCCAGCTACTCGGGAGGCTGAGGCAGGGGAATCGCGTAAACCCAAGAGGCGGAGGTTGCAGTAAGCAGAGATTGTGCCACTGCACTCCCTCCAGCCTGGGTGACAGAGCGAGACTCTGTCTCAAAAAAAAAAAAAAAAAAAAATTGAAATCATACAGAGTATGTTCTTGGACCACAATGGAATAAAATAGGAATTAATGACAGAGAAATAGCTGTGAAAAACCTAAAATACTTGGAAACTAAACAAGACACTACTAAATAGCCCATGTGTCAGAGAGTAAGTCTCCAGGGAAATAAGAAAATATTTTTAATTTAGAGAAATTTAAATATATCAAAATTTGGGAATGTTTATATCAATAAAGAAGAATATTATGAAATTAGATAGTGGTGATGATTGCACAACACTGTGAATGTATTAAAAACCACGAATTGTACCCTTTAAAAAGGTGAATTTTATAACATGTGAATTATATTTCGATTTTAAAAAAGAAAAGGAGAAAGATCTTGGGACCAAAAGGCTAAGCTTCCACCTTAAACTAAAAACAGAAGAGCAAACAAAACCCAAAGCAAACATAAGGAGGAAAATTGAAAAGGTAAAGTAGAGTTTAACAAAATTATCAGCAGAAAATCAATAGAGAAAATCAAATAAAACAAAAGCTGATTCTTTGAAAAGACCAATAAAATTGACAAACTTCTAGCCAGACTAAGAAAAAAAGAAAAAGACACGAATTACCAATATCTGGAATGAAATAAGGGATATTCATGAATGAAATAAGGTCTGTAGGGCAGATATTAAAGGGATAATGAGGAAACATTATGAACAATTATATGCCTATTATATTAGTTTTCTATTGTTCCTTAACAAATTACCGCAAACATAGTACAATACACTTATTATCTCACACTTCCTGTGGTTCAAGAGTTCATGCATAGCTTAGCTGGGTGCTATGTTTAGGGTCTCATAAGGCTGCAACTAAGGTTTTGGCTGGCCTGTATTCTCATATGGGGGTTTGACTAGTGGGTAGGCAGAATAATGGTCCCTCAAAGATGTCAATGTCCCAATCCTCAGGACTTGTGAATATGTTATAGTACAAGGGCACTATATGGCAAAGGGGTCTTTGCAGATATGATTAAGTTAAGGATCTTGAAATGGGAAGGTTATTCTGGATTATACAGTGGGCTCTATAATCATAAGTGTCTTTATAAGAGAAAGATTCAAAGAACAAGATGTAACAATAGAAGTCAGAGTGATGTGATGTGAGAAAGATTCAACCATCTATTGCTGGCTTTGAAGACAGAGGAAGGGGCCACAAGCCAAATAATACAGGTGGCCTCTAGAAGCTGGAAAAGACAAGGAATGGGTTCTTCCCAAGAGCCTCCAGAAGGAATAGAGCCCTGCTGATGCCTTGATTTTATCCCCCATAGGACTCATTTTGAACTTCAGACCCCTAGAATTGTGAGATAATAAATTTGTGTCATTTTAAGCCACTAAGTTTGTGATAATTTGTTACAGCAGCAATAGGAAGTTAATATAAATGAGGAAGAATCCACTTCAAAGCTCACTCAGATTGTTGGCAGAATCCATTTTGTTGTGTCTGTAAGACTGAAGGCTCTGGATTCTTGCTGGCTGTTGGCTGGAGGCCACCCTCAGCACCTTGAGGCTTTCTTAACCTAACAAAGAGCTTCTACAACAACAAAACTTAACAACCAACATCATATTTAATGTTGAAAAACTGAATGCTTTCCCCCTAAGATCGGATGTCTGCTTTCACCACTCCTATTCAACATCATGCTAGAAATACCAGACAGTGCAGTAAAGAAAGAAAAAGAAATAAAAAGCATAGAGATTGGCAAGTAATAATTAAAATAGTCTCTATTCACAGAGAACACAATTGTCTGCATGAAAACACATTTTGTCTGCATGAAAACACAATTGTCTGCATGAAAAATAATCTACACAAAAGCTCCTAGAACTAATATGTGAGTTTAGCAAGGTCACAGGATACAAGGGCAAAACAAAAACCAAGTATACGTCTATATACTAGCTATTTGGACAATTGGAAATTGAAACTAAAAACTGCACAAACGATGTGCAGGATCTATATACAGAAAACTATAAAACACCAATAAAAGAAATCATAGGTGACCTAACTAAATGGGGAGATATGCCGTATTCATGGATTTTAAGAGTCAACATTAAGATGACAGTTTTTTCCCAAACTAAAGATTTAGCGCAGTGCCAATTAAAATGCCACCAGGATTTTTTAATACAAATCAAAAAGCTAATTCTAAATTTTATATCCAAAGGCAAAGGAACTAGAATACCCAAAATTATTTCAAAAAAGAAGAACAAAGAGGACTCACACTACTGATTTTAAGACTTACTAAAAAGCTATACTAATGAAGATGACAATGTAGTATGGGCAAAAGGATAGAGACATAGATCAACACAGCAGAATAGAGAGTCCAGGAATAGACCCACACAAAAATTGCCAATTTATTTTTTAACAACTTTATTGAAGTAGAATTGCCATACAAAGAACTACACATATTTAATATATACTCTTTGATGAATTTGGACATATGCAAATACCTGTGATCATGAACAACTGATATCCAAAAAAGGCAGAGAGGCCACTCAATGAAGAAAGTCTTTTCAACAAAGTGTGCTAAAACAACTGGACATCCATATACAAAATCAGGAATTTCAATCTATACCTCATACCTTACACAAAAATTAATTAAAAATAGATCATAAACCTAAGTGTAAATAATAAAAGTATAAACTTCATTTCTCCCTAAAAGGGCAAAATCTTTTGTGATCATGGGTTGGGCAAAGAGTTCTCAGATGTGACACTGAGGGCACAACCCATAAAAGACAGGATGGATAAACTGGACTTCATCAAATTAAAAACTTTGCTCTGCAAAAGACACGGTCAAGAGAATGAAAGGACAAACTACACATTGGAAGCAAATTTTTGTAAAACACATAGTTCACTGCAGCCTCGAACTCCTGAGCTCAAACAATCCTCCACCTCAGCCTCCTGAGTAGCTAGGCATGTGCCACTAGTCCTGGCTAATTTTTCTTTTTTATCTTTTATTGTAGAGACAGGGGTCTTGCTATGTTGACCAGTCTGGTCTCAAACTCTTGGCCTCAAATGATCCTCTGAAGGCACTGGGATTATAGGTGTGAGTCACCGCATCCAGCCTTATACTCAGGATTTTTAAGTGCCAATCCTAATAACAAAGAAGCCCAGGGCTTGTGTTTCTTTGGTAGGACAGGTATTAAGGGATTGTTGCAGTGAAGATACAAGCTCTGATTAGATGTCAACACCATTTTAGTATTGTTTACTGCACCAGGAGATTCCAATTTAGTCCCAGATTCTTCATCTACAGTTTGGTGACTCTATTTCAACCCTATTAAGATCCCTTTAGGCTAGGTGTGGCGGTTCACACCTGTAATCTCGGTGCTTTGAGAGGCCAAGGTGGGAAGATCAGTTGAGGCCAGGAGTTTGAGATCAGCCTGGGCAACAGTGAGACCCCCATCTCTACAAAAAATATATATATGTTTTTTTAAATAGCCAGGTATGATGTCTACTCAAGAGCCTGAGGCGAGAGGATAGCTTGAGCCTGGGAGGTCAAGGCTGCAGTGAGCTGTGATTGCGCCTCTCCACTCCAGCCTGGACAACAGAGCAAGACCCTGTCTCTTAAAACAAACAAACAACGACAACAACAAAAACCCTTTGGTTGTAAGCAATGGAAACCCACAGGCTGGCTGAAGCATTCAAAGGGATAGAAGAGATGGGCACGGTGTCTCACATCTGTAATCCCAACACTTAGGGAGGCAGAGGCAGGAGGATAGCATGAGCCCAGGAGTTTGAGACCTGCCTGGGCAACATAGCAAGACTCTTTTCTCAAAAAACAAACAAACACACACACACACACAAAGGATGGAAGGATCAGAAGAACCAAGACGTAGGAAGAGCAGGGACCCACAGCAGCAGTGGGTAGGTCTTTACTTCAGGACACACTGTCACTAATGTACGTACCACAATTCTCAGGCTCTTTGCTTCTGTGTTTGGAGTTTCAAGTTCCTGAGTGAGTATAATTGCACCAACTTTGGTTGGGTGTCTACCTCTGGATCAATTAGCGGCAGCCAAGGGATGAATGCCCTAAATCTGAGAAGGCCACTGGGGCTTTGTCCTTGTGCACTGAAGCCATTCACAACAAAGGGGGAATTGTGTGCTAGGCAGTGGCCCCAAGAGATGTGTATTGCAAGCAAAAAGGTTGCACAGATTCTCTTCTACATGAGCTCACCATCAGAATATGAGGACAACAGAGAGTTTGGTGGCATTCTGATTTCCCCCCACAGTCTCTTTAATATCCCAACAGGTTTTTGTCTAAGGCCTAAGAGAAATTAGTCTCATCTTCATGTTTATACTTTTACAATCTGTTTACAGACAAAAGAGCATACACACTCTCATTCAGTCCTTTATCTAAAAGATAATACTCTAAATGCTTAGGATGGTCCTTAAGATGTTACTACTCTGCTCAAAAACTTATAAGGAAAAAAACACATATAGTGCATTGCACTCCAGCCTGCATGACAGAGCAAGACCCTGTCTCAAAAAGCAAAAACAAAAACTTATAGAGGCTCTCTATTATCTACCATATTAAAACATCTAAGAATTTAGTTACTTATCAAATAGCCTTCCCTTCCTTTCCCAACTCCTTTTTTATTACATATTAGTTGAGCATACAATATTCTCTTTAAGTATTATTTTTTAACATAATTTTACACGACAGCACAGCTTCGCTGCTGGAGGTGAAAGATTGTTTCTTGCTATGTTGCCCAGGCTGGTCTCAAACTCCTGGGCTCAAGTGACCCTCTCACCTCGCTCTCATAAAGTGCAAGGATTACAGGTGTGAGCCACCATACCCAGCCAGAACAATATTCTCTACTTTCTAGACATTAACATGGTGGTAACCGTATTTGTCAATCTTATAAGCCCAAAAACTTATGGTCATAAATATCTGAACTCAGACCACCTCAGAATATTTTTGGCATATGTTTGCCATAGCCAAGAATATGCAAAAAAAAAAGAAAAGAAAGTTGAAAACAGTCCCTACCTTGTAAAGACAGTTAAGAGTGGTTGGTACAGGCTAGGGCCAGCCGCAAGTGGCTCACCTGTAATCCCAGCACTTTGGGAAGTCGAGGCAGGGAGATCACCTGAGATCAGGAGTTCAAGACCAGCCTGGCCAACATGGCGAAACCCCGTCTCTACCAAAAATCCAAAAATTAGCCAGGTGTGGTGGCACATGCCTGTAATCCTAGCTATTCGGGAGGCTGAAGCAGGAGAATCGCTTGAACCTGGGAGGCGGAGGTTGCAGTGAGCCGAGATCAAGCCACTGCACTCCAGCCTGGGCAACAGAATGAGACTCTGTCTCAAAAAAAAGAGTGGTACAGGCTGCTCTCTAGCAACCCTTTCACCTTGTCAGAGTCCCAGCTGCCCCCAGACCAACCTTATTCAATCCCACCTTGCTTTTTCTTTTGCTATTCCTTTGACCTTGAAAATCTTATCTTGTGCATAATTCTGTGTCCTCCACTTGCATAAACTACCTCCAAAAAGTTTGCACTTTCTAACCTCTCCATTCTCTGAACAATAACGTAGTAAAAGCTGTCTCTCCTCAACATGAGAAAAACTGCATGTAATTAAAAAATGAAATTGATAAATTTTGATATGACTTTTAATGTTTTAATACCAACAATAATTTAAATGGTCATTATGCATTCCTTAACCCAAGTACCTCCCTTCATAAAGTAATCTGTCTCTCCCACCTTGGAACTTCCATTGTATTTCATTCCTCTATTGCGCACACTGATTTTCTCTTTTGTATTATGATTATGGTTCTCTGTCAATGCTTGTCCTCTATGAGATTATAGTTCTTTGAGGGAAAGTACTGTGTCTTACTCTTATTTGCACCCTTTCTAGTTCTCAGCACAATGCCTGGCATTGTACAGATACACAATGTACTTTTGTGTGTGTGTGTGACGGAGTTTCGCTCTGTCACCCAGGCTGGAATGCAGTGGTGCGATCTTGGCTCACTGCAACCTCTGCCTCCTGGATTCAAGAGATTCTCCTGCCTCAGCCTCCCGAGTAGCTGGGACCACAGGCGCGTGCCACTGCACCTGGCTAATTGTTGTGTTTTTAGTAGAGGTGGGGTTTCACTATGTTGGCCAGGCTGGTCTCGACCTCAGGTGACTCACCTGCCTCGGCCTCCCAAAGTGCTGGAATTACAGGCGTGAGCCACCACGCCTGGCCACAATATAAATTTTTTTGAATGAAGGAAGGAATTAACCGACAGAGATTTATATGATGATGTTACAACCTCCTTTTCCATATAAGCCCATCAGACAGCCTAGAAATAAAACACTTACTAAAAACAGTTCAGAGAAGTCTATCTGTGAAACTGTCGGTATGATGTAATTCTAAAGAAAGTTAGGGGGGGACCCCCAGACTATATGGAAGGCTCAGTCTGCTTTTTAGTGCTAGTTTCACAACAAGCAAAATAACCATAGTGTCTCTTGAGAAATAAGCACTAATTTTAGAACTAATAAGTACTAATTTTAGAACTCCATATATTAATGGTTTATAGCCTCTCCTTTCTCAGTGGCAGGACTGAGAAATAGGAGCTTGCGGTATGAAATCAGAATACCTGAATTTCAGTCTCACCTCCATCACATATTAGCCATGTGACCTTGGGCGAGTTGTTTAACCTCTCTTTGCCTCAGTTTCATCACTGGCAAAATGTCGAAACTAACAGTAGACTCCCTCAAAGGGATGGTGTGAAAATTAATGACAACATATTTAAACCATTTAGAATAGTACCTGGCACTTCGTGTTTTAAAGTGATAGAAATATACCATACTTGCCTTATATCCTCTATTGGTAAATTCCATGTTAAGGGCAAAATTTCTTTTTTATATCGCACCAGGGTACCTAGCACAGTATGTAACAAATACTAGACGCTCAAAAAAATGACATGCATTATATTTGAGGTAAATAAATTGAATGCACAAGAAAATAAAGGTATTTTAAAAATGTAAGTGCAATTAATATAAATTAAAGGGCTCTCGACATATCATTTGCATATCTTCAATTTTTCCTTATAATTAGTTGCTGGCTATCTTACGATTTTATCTTTTTCTTGCCCTCTTCAAAGCATGTAGTTTGGTGTAATGCACATTATAGCCCTCAGAATTGCTGGCCTTCTGACAAGCTAGCTGTTTGGATATTGTGAGGGATGAGGTTGCTGCAGCAAAAAGTGGGTTACACGACAGCACAGCCTCGCTGCTGGAGATGAAAAACCAATAATCCCAGAAAACAGCGCATAGGGTAGGCTGGGCCAGCCGAGGATTATGTGAAGGTTCGTTGGGACCCTCCGGAGGCCAGTGGGGTACTGCAAAGGTGAGTGCCCCAGTGCCAGGGGTCGTGAGCCCGGAGCCCTGCGGGGGACGGCTGGTAGGCCCTGCTGGATGAGTCATTCTCCCCACCCCGGGCACGTGCTGGTGGCGGCATCCACCCGGACCCCGCCTTCCCCCCACCCAACCCCCGGCGCGGAACGCGAGCGGTGAGCGGCCCCAGCGCCCCCAAGGCGCCCCCTCCGGGCCGCCTCCTCCGGGCGGGCACTGTCCTTGCCGCAGTCGGCCGCTGGCGCAGTCCCCGCGCCGCAGTGCCGGGCGCTCGTGGGGGGCGCCCACGGGCACCTGGGCCGTCTGCTCATCGGAGCCGTCCGCCGTCCTCCCGCATTCCCACGGCGCCCCACGCCCGCGCGCCCGTCGCCGGTCACCCGCCGCCCGCGGAGCCGCGAGGGCGTCTCCTGGAGGCGCAAGAGGACTGGGCGGGGCGGGGCGCGCCCACCGGCCGGCCCAGGGCACCTCGCGCGGGTGCACACGCCGCAGCCCCCCGGGGCGGGTGGGTGTGCTCCGGCCGCGCGCGCCGCCGCCGCCGCCGCCGCCGCCGCCGCCTCCTCAGCCTGCCGCTCCGCCCGCGCCGCCTGCTGCCGGCGCTCGGCCCAGCACGCCGGCTCTCGGGCTGCCGTGGGCTGCGCGGGGCCCGCGGTGTGTAGAGTCCGCCGCCCCGGAGCCGCGTCCCGCACCCGGACGGTCCCGGTAAGCGGGGGCGGGGGCGGCGGGGACCGGGCCGTCACCTGAGGGGCGGGTCTGCGGCCGCGGACAGTCCTCCGGGACTCTGAGGTGCTTGTGTGGGAGCCGCCTCCAAGGTGGCCCCCCTGTGTCATTGGATGAACCCCAAGTAGCTGCTGCCTCTACGCCTTGGGGGAGTCCCTGAGGTGCTGTGGGGAGCCGCCCCCATAAAGACCCCCTGTGGGAATGGACTCCCGCGGCGCTGTCTGCATTTGCTGCCATAGGGAGCCCCAGCGTGGAGGGGACTGGCCCCAGAGAGCCCTTCTGTGTCACTGTGGGAGCAGGCACAAGGGTGGTCTCTGGAGCTGGCTCAATGGAAGACCACCTGGGAACATAGGGGAGCCGCAGGAACCTCGAGGTGGTGGAGCCCCCAGAGGGCTCCCTAGAAAAGGAGGACCTGAGACTGTGCCCTAGAACTGTGGGAAGCAACCTCTGACTGGGGAGGGGGATCCTCCCATGGGATCCATGAGTGACTTCCCACGGCTCCAAGGACTTTGGCCTCCACCGGGATCCCTGTAGGGTTCCATGTGCCCTTACTTGTATCCCCACACCGTGGCCCAGAGGTGGGGGCCTTCTAGGGCTGCAGCCTCTTTCCATTCCTCCTCTTTCCCCATTCGGATTTTTCTTCTCCATGGTAGCCCAGTTGCTCCACGCTGCATTTTAGTGGAGACAGAAACTGCTGCGAGAGCACAGGGCCCTAAGCCGAGGATGAGGACCAGTGAGGCCTCTAAAGCAAAGATAGGAGATTTGAGCCCCTAGGTTTGACCGTGCGGAAGGAAGCAGTAAGATCAGGTGGAATAACTGACTTTGGCAGGTCCTGGAGGGAAAGGCCTTTGAAGGAAGGAATAAAGGATGTATGGGATTGTTGAGCACCAGTACGCTAGGCAGTATACTAGGTATGTTTAAACATCTCATATAACTCTTACAACAGCTTTGTGAAATTATCCCCTTTTAAACATTGAGACTCAGAGAGGTTTAGCAATTTGCCCAAGGTCACAAAGCTGATGAAAAACATAATCATAAAATGTTTTTCAAATTTTATTTGGGAAAAAGTACTAAGGAGCAGCAGAAGAAAGAATAGATATTTGTTAATAAGTTGCATTAAGGTGCCTGCCGAGCATAGGGTTTTGCAGTGGTACAAGCTCAGTAAATGTGATGATTAAATAAGTGGATGAGGACAGTTTAACTGGCCATGAGATTGCTGCAGGAACTGATTTCCACAGAATCCCCAGATTTCAGGGTGTGGCTTCCTTCACTGGCAGTCCCACTGTCATGATGCCTTGGGGTGGCTCTGGACCTAATTGAGGCCTCTGGGTGTGGTTTTTGACAGGGCTTTCTCTGGGGATCTAGGGGGACCCTTCTGCGGATGGAGTGTCCCAAGACCACCCTACCTGCTACCGAATACTCGAAGGAGAGAAAGGAGAGACAGGATCACTTTTAGGAAGCACGATCCACACTGTCCTTGTGACCCTCTGACTACATGCACCGGTGGACAATGGTCCACAGATAGCACTCAGGACACTTTTGCCCAAGAGTGCCTCTGCATGAGGAGGAGGAGGACAGGAAAGGTGCAGAGCCAAGGAAGGCTCACTGGGAGTCTGTTAGGGGGAGCGCAAAGGGTCTGCGCCAGACATAGTGTTGCCTCCTCATCTCGCCCCCTCGTTGTTTTCATTCTAGCTGAATCCCAAGAGTTCAACTTTGAGCTCCAAGGATGGATTCTGGTTTCTTGTCCAAAAACGGAGTGGTGAGAGGGCCAAGCAATGATATTCATTAGAGCCATTCTGGAAGGGTTTTCCTGCTCCCCTTCCCTGCTTTCTTCCACACAGTCAAACCTAGTTAAATCCTCCTTGAACAGAAGTGGCTTCCTTTGGCTCCTGGAATTACATAGTGAGGAGAGAGACCAAGCTAGTGGGAAAACAGAACAACATAGTTTACCAGTTGTTAGATTTTTTTTCTTTTAACTCAGTGATGCTACCTTGCGCGCAACTCAGTGGAGTAAAGCCCGACAAAGGTTTTTGTTGGTTAGGACCTCCCCATTGTAAAGTTGTTTATAATCCCCCTTTCAGTTCAAACCCATCTGATCAGCTTAACAGATCAGAATAAATAGGTAGGCATATATTTAAAGAAAGTCAGAAGGACCAAACCTGAAGATATGATCTTTGTTCCAGATCATTGATTTGTCATTGAGGTTTTATTCCTAAATTGGTCTTTTGTTGAGGGTGCTTATTATCACACCCACTCATGACCCTGGAAAAATCACTAAATGGATCCAGGCTCTCCCCTAATCTTGGACCTTGGATATCAGCTTCCCCATGTCCAGCATTGGGTAAAATTAAGATTTCAAAAATCCTAAGAATACAGCCTAACTCTCCCTAGTCACAGCATGAGTCTGCAAATCAAATCATTCCAGAATGTGCACGAAAGATGTCACCAGGTGGCCTTAACCTTCTCAAAAATGCTCTCTCCAAAGGGAAATAAAAGGGGAGAGAACGGCTCACCCAGTTTCATTTGAGCTTACCCAAATGTGTCTGGATTTTACTGTCTGGATTTCTCAACCTTTGATCTTTCACATATTCTCCAATCTTCTAACATTGTCTTCTTCTAACATTTGCCATTCCTTTCCTTCAACATGGATAGTAAGACCTCCCCAGGCCCATTTCCCCGACTCCTTGCAATTTTTTCCACTACACCTGTTCCTAAGTGAATC
The DNA here is from genome assembly GCF_000001405.40 of Homo sapiens. NCBI lineage: Eukaryota > Metazoa > Chordata > Mammalia > Primates > Hominidae > Homo > Homo sapiens. Next base: position 34,961,142 of record NC_000009.12, read on the forward strand.
ACATTCATGCAAATAGTTTCCCTTCTCTTTAGCTACAGAATCTATTATCTTTTAGTCCCACACGCTTCTCTCCAGCAGTGCTGCTTGGCTTCTGCTATCTTCATGTCCCAAATTGATTTATTCATTTCTGATGGGAATATCATTATCCACTCCACCCCTCAATCTTAATGACCAAATTCTGACAGGAATTGCTTGCCAGCTTTGGACCAAGAAACCAAGACCATCAGTGTCCAGCTGAAGACATGATTATTTTTTCCATTAGCACATCCCCCTCCATTCTCCCCACTCTTCCAGCAATCCCCTCAGAGACTCACTTACATTTACTAAGTGCTACTTACTTGCCAGGCACTATGCTAGATAAATATGAGAGTTTCTTGCCCTTGAGGAGTTCACATAGAATCAGTCTGCATTTCTCTAATCATTCACTATAAAGAGTAGGAAAAGTAAGGGGGAAATTATGGCATTACAGAATATCCACAGGAACCAATATAGAGTATGCCTTTTCCCAAGCATCACTGAAACTCAGCTGCTGTGCTATGCCTCCTCTGGCAGCCACATTCAGCCCTCCTGCCAGTGCCCTGCCAAAATTACTTTTGCCCATATACTCTGAGTGTAAACTGACCACATTTTTGCCTTCCTTATGATAGTAATGACAGAACCTTTTATTTAGATAGCATGTTACAGTTTATGAAGCCCTTTTAGATATATGTTGGCTGTTTGGTTTTGAGAAATGCTTCATCTTACTGGGGTCCTCTCACTGAAGCAGAGCTGTGTGGGCTAATTGGCTCTCTCTCTTTTTGTATGTTTGTTTTTTTGAGGCTTAGGAGTCTCCCAGAGGGAAAGCCCCAGTGATTCACTACAGTCACCACCTACGAGCTCTTAGGTTGCGAAGGAGTTTCCTGTTGGGTCCTAAGGCCAAACAATGCACTCACTGGTCAGCGCTGGAACTTATCAGGGCAGTCCCTCTTCCTGGCCTCAGCAAATCCAATTCTCTGGGATTTTCTTCCTCCTTGAAACTCAAATACATATTCTAACAAATATTTTAAGCATACTATCTCAAACCAGTTCTTTGGGCTGATGCTAATTCTTATGTGAAGACACGTTTCCTTGCCTATTTCTATCTAGCCCCCAGGCTGGCTTCATACCATCTAAGTCATGATGGAGTCCCCATATAGCTCCATGCCTTGGCATGTGCTGTTACCTCTTCCTGGAATGCTTTTTTTTTTTTTCCTTATCCACTGATGTAACTCCTACTCATATTCAAAATTTAGCTCAAGCAACACCTTTTTTTTTTCAATCCTACACTTATGCCCCCTGCACACGCACATACTCACTGCATTCTCACAGGCTGAATGAGCTTCCATTTGTTCATTCTACCATCAGTTATTAAGCACCTGATTTGTGCCTGACGCATAGTAGGCTGTACTCGGCGAAAGTTTGCAGAATCAACAGAGAAGTAAATGGTGATAATTAAGGTGTAATAATTGCATTACATGGGGCTGAATCTGTGTTTCAGGGAACCAGAGCAGAAAACAGGGAGTGCCTCTCCATCTTGCTGAAAAGCTCTGCTTGCTAAGTGCAGTCTCACCAGCCAATCACTGATGGTGTGATGTTCCTTAACTGTTGCTCTGCCTCTGTGGGAAGTCAGCACTGTGGCTTTTAATGAAGACTCAGGCCCTAAGAGGCTAAGCTCATGCCATAATTTTGCTCTCATCTATATTAGAACTTTGTGAGCTTTCAGTAAATATTAAACAGCAGCAGGATGCCTTGTAGTCTTGAGCTGAGGCCAGAAAGACAGTTTTTCTGTCTAGCCTTTCTGTTCCTTGGAAACCCCAGAAAAGCCCCATGTAGTTGTGACTGTCTCATCCTGAATAAACAGGCTGAATGAAGAGAGGTGGGGAGGTACCAGGTAGACCTTTCAGGGTCTACAAACATGAATACTAAAATTAGTTTCTAGGCTACTGCCAGGTGACAAAATGTCTGAGTAGGAACAGGCTCCAAGAGCACTGTAGTGAGGCACTGGAATTTCCTAAAGCAACAGCCAGTCACTGGAGAACAATCGGACCCCTCGGGGCTTGGATTTCCTCAAAGACCCGCACGAGAACTCTTTTTGATGGTTTTTTTTTTTTTTTTTTTGCTTAAAATCTTGAGGTTGATGCTGATGTTCACAGTAAGCTCAGAGTCTGTGCTATGCATTCAGCGTTTGTTTTGTTTTTTTACAGACCCTGGTTGTGTTGATTTTCCACACTCTTGCAGCTGGTCACCTTCTGTGTTAGGCATATGGCTTTTCCTAAGGCTCTCAGCCCTTTGGGCACATGCTTCCAGGAGCCAATTGTTGACCACCTTGAAATTTTTCACTTGTATGTGCAGATACTGCTCGTGCTAAATTTCAAACCCAGGACAAAGGAAGTGCATTTTCACACTTTCTACTTGTGTCCTTAAGGCAACTGCCCTCCTGTGGGCCTCACCATAGTCCACAGGACACAGCATAAATGCAGGGGACTGTTGACTTTGGTAATACTGGCTTCTCTTTTCTTACCATTGTGATTGTAGAAACCGGCTAAATTGCAGAATTTCTTAACTCTCCTCTGTAGTCAGAGAGAAATCATCCTCGTGTTCTCATCCCTGCTAGCCCTGACTCACTGTCCAGGTGCCACCTCTTGGGAAGTAGAGTAGATGTGATGATGTGAGCTGGTGACTGCATAGTTTCTAGAATTGAGTTTTGGAGATTTGGTCTCATTAGTCTCTGGCCAATTTGATAAAGAGAAAAGACACTATGATCTTAAATAAATTGTTTATGTTGCCCAGTCATCTCTGCATCATTCATTCAACAAAGATTTAAGAGGCTAAAACCCTTAATGCTTAATGGAGATGATCAAACCTGTATACAAAAGACACTTTAATTCACATGCTCTGTGGAAGTCAGTAAGAACCATCTCTACTTTTCTCCCTCCTGATCTCAGTGAAACACAGATTCCTTTACTCCACTTGCTCAACCTATTCTCTTTGGTTGTCTTTCCCTTTCCCCTCACTCAGAGGTTTTCTTTGCCTTGTTCCTTCCTAGGGAAGCCCTAACCTCCAGGCAGCCACTTTTACTTGCTTGTGAGCCTTTTAAATAGCCTCCATCCCCATACCAAGAATCAGATTGAACCAGCTACTCGGGAGGCTGAGGCAGGAGAATCACTTGAGCCCAGGAGTTTGAGGCCAGCCTGGGTAACATAGTGAGACCCTAGAACCACCCTCCATCTGAAAACATAAATTTTAAGAAGAGAAAATCAGTAAATGTACTTTACATTTAACAGGCTGCATGAGGAAACTCCTGCCTATTAGGAGTGTTGCCCTTCAGGCTCTCCACAGCTCTGAATCTTTATACAGAGTGCTGGGAAATAGAGGCTCCCCAGCTTCCTTCCCCTTCCTTATTTCTCTATCAGCTCCTGCTCCAGAGCAGCCCCTCCTCCTCTTACTCCCACCACTTTGCCCTTATTAATAATCCCGCTGAATTCTAAGCAGGTGCTCTGCAGAAAATGGGTGTGTCTTGCAAACATTACAAGCTGCCCACAAATGTCTTACTGCCTGACAAACACATCTAGACATGCTTCTCTTACCCAAGACAGATTCTACTTGTTGCTGTTTTCATTTCTTCCAGTTCATGAAGTCAGACGGCCCTATTCCACCTTCTTGTCCCGCTGTTATATACCATCACCTGCTCCTCTCCCCTGAGTTTTTTTCCAGGCCTTCCCTAGATACCACAAATTCCCTGACAGCCACATAATTCTTGGGACAATATCTTTTTGGCCTCTTTTCGTCATTTTTAGGGAGGCAGAAACCCCCAGTCCCACCCACCAGCGAAAGAAGTAATCATTAGGTATAATTTGTGGGATCTTTGCAACTTGATTTCCTTTTAACTCTCTCTTTTTCCTAGGACTTATTCCAGCACAGGAGAGGCCAGGTTTTTATCCACAAGCATTTGTTTTTACCTGGCACCAATCACTACCACTTGTTTCTCTAAAAATTTGAGCTGATTTTGTTAAGTTCTCAAACATCCCAGGTGCACTTTTTGGATATTTCAGCACACACACTTTTAATCAAAGTGTCTTTTGTATACAGTTTTGATCCTCTCCATTAAGTATTAAGAGTTTTAGACTCGCTTTTAAAGCTGAATTCTGTTGTGTCTTCACAGTTTACTGTCAAAGTCAAAGTCATGTCAATTCAAAATGACTTGATGGTCTTGTTTGGATTTTGATGGTTTACTGTGAATAGTTCTACTTTGCATTTCTGCCCTTACAGGCATAAAATGGTCTACAAGATTGAACCATCTCAGCTAAAAGGAATAGCAGTGCTCCAAGAGCCTGTGCTTAGGACTGGAAAGCGTTTGTTTTTATGTTTGTTTTGCTAGTAGATGTCAGCTTCAGTCTTCATAGAAATTGCTTTAAGGATAAACTCCCAAAACCATTGCAATGACATAGTTGACCATGGAGATAGCTTCATAGCTATTCTTGGTATCCTTATAAAGAATAATGGTATCCTTACAGTTAATAATGGGTTGTAGCGGATCTACAGTGTGTTGGGAGGTGTCTGTGATTAATTTGATGATTCTCTGTTAATGAGTAAGTTCATTTATAGAGTAACTTCCTAACTGGCTGGTCTTTGTTCAATAACTTTTATTAAAGCATCTGAAAAAGCCAAAAACAAAGGCATACCATTGGTTTTCCTCTAATGAATCGTTCTTGAAAATGTGAATTTAGTATTTTTTTTCCAGATCTCCAAATAAGTGTTTCTCAACTATTTTTTTCCAGTGTTTATCAGACCTTCTGATAAACATAAAAGTCTCTTGACTGTTCCCTAAAACTTGTGATATAACTCCTGGGAGGAGGCTGCCTCCAACTATTTGGAGAGTTAGTACCTTCCGTATAGCCCTAAGAACAAAGAAGATACTGTCAAACTCACTGTTTTGTAGTCTATGTCACACACACAAAAAAAGCAGAGATGGTTTTTAATACTTGTTTTCCAAATATAAATACATAATTGATAAGCTCTTGAAACTCACTTATTTCTCCCCTCCTCCCGGAGTTTCTGATATACACCTCCCACCTGCCACAGGATCCAGCCAATTCACCACTTGAGAATCATTGCTCTGGTTGTTGTGTTTAAAAAATTAAATCAAGCTGGGCACTCTGGCTGGAACCTATAATCCTAGCTACTTGGGAGGCTGAGGCAGGGAATCACATGAGCCCCAGAGTTATCAACAAGTCTGGGCAACATACCAAGACCCTGTCTCTTTAAAAATTTTTCAAAAATTAGCACGACCTGTAGCCCCAGCTATGTGAGAGGATTGCTTGAAATTTTTCAAAAATTATCAATCATGACCTGTAGTCCCAGCTATGTGAGAGGATTGCTTGAGTGCAGGAGTTCGAGACTAGCCTGGGTAATATGGCGAGACCCCCCCCCTCGCCCCATCTCAAAATAAATAATTAAATCATTTTTTCTCTTTTTTAATAGCATGAATATATCACAAGTTATTCAGTAATTTCCCTATTGAGGTTGTTTCCACCTTTTTTCTTTTTTAAGAGACAGGGTCTCACTGTGTTGCCCAGGTTTCAGTGTAGTGGCTATTCACAGGCACAGTCATGGCACACTACAGACCCAAACTCCTGGTCTCAAGCAATCCTCATGCTTCAGCCTCCCGAGTAGCTGGGATTATAGGAGCAAATCACCATGCCCAATTTCTTTCCATCTTTTTAATCACTGTAAAAAGAATGCTCCAATCAATCATTTTTTTTTAATGTGATGAGGTATTGCTATGTTGGCCAGGCTGGTTTTGAATTCCTGGGCTCAAGCAGTTCTCCCACCTCAGCTGCCCACGTAGCTGGGATTACAGGCATGTGCCACTATGCCTAGCTAAATTTTTTTTTTTTACATATACCCACAGGTGAAAGAGCATCAGCCTCTTGGATACAATAGGTTTTCTTTAGTCAGAGGTATATTAGTAGCTGTCCATCTCTGGTGGATCTTCCAACCACACAGACTCCTAAGAGAAGCTTGAATAAACTGTTCATCTTTCACCACATCAGTTAAGGGCAGCACTTTCCTTATATCCTTGTCTTTTAGAGGTGCGTTCTTCAAATTGCAGATTTAAATCCATTAGTAGGTCATGAAATCATTTCAGAGAGTCACTATCAGGGTTGTTTTAATGAAATAGGATAGAAAATATCAGGGAGCATCACATGTAGTAAAAGTATGATTGTTCCACAAAATTTTGACTTCAGTTGCAGATCTATAAACACATGTGTCTACAGGGTTATCACAAAAAATATATTTCTTACTCTGAGCCACAGTTGAAAGTTTTGAGAAACATGCCTTGGGGTTTCTGAGGAAAACCTAGTGGTCTGGAAAATGTAATTGCTCATAATAAAAATATGCTCAAATAAAAATATGAAGAATTATCTGTCAGTTTTGTATTTTCTCTCTTGGGGTACCTCTGTCACTGTAAGTTGGGGAGTTGCATCCCACCCAGCCATCGAACACGCTGTTGCCCATGAGGCATTTGAGCAGCATCTGGGGACTACAGGGCCAGCCCTGTCACTTCAAGAACCCACTGGGTCCAAAGCCTCAGCAAAAAATTTAACATATACATACTCTTCTCTCCATCCCCACCCCACCCTGGCTAGATTCCCTCATTAGATCATATGAACTTTTAAAAGAAGATGAAAAACAACATGAGCATTCTAAATGCTTCAGACTATATGTTCCAAATACACTCATTAACAGACAGAGAACTAAAGCCCAAAGCAACCAGCAACAGGTTCTGAATCATAGAACAGGGGACCCAAAACAAAAACAAGTCATCAAGTTGCCAACCCTAGGATTTGTTTTATTATCTAATTAATGTGCAATGTGGGAGAATTGGAAAATATAGATTACAAAAAGATTAAAAGTACATACAGTACAAAAATTAGATCATAACATGAGCATTTTTGTAACTTGCTATTTTTGTTAATATGTTTGCATATTTTGAGTATCTTTCCCACCAATAAATATACTTCTACCTCAGTGTTTTCCGTGTTGTTTAGTCTTTCGTGGTACGTAATTTATTTCCCTATTGCTTAATATTTGTTTCCAGCTAATGAAAAAAAGATTTCTTAATCACAATTTTTTATGAATTTATTTGGGGATTAAGATATTTTCATTTTAATTACAATTTATTCTTAGTTGTCCACTGAGGCATGAATACCCTAAATGATTTCCTGAATGTGCTCAATAAATCTTTCTTCAATAAATCTCCTGTGCCACTGCCCTTTAAGGCAGTATTAAGTATTTAAAGTCAATGTTCCTTCGTCACATACTTCAGTTTTACAAACAAATTTATAAATGGAGTCGGGGAGGTGGTTCTTTCCTTTCCTATCAATCAGTTTATAAATTCAAGAATATGAATTTCCTTGGTAGTAGTAGTGGCAAGGCAAGCACGTGAGCAGTGTAGGAGTTCGCACCACTGTGGCACATACAAGCAGTGTTTCCGAAAAGAAGATGGGGCTGTCATCAGATAGTACATGTATTAAGGTTTCATTTTTAAAAGTAAAAGGAATTCTCCACAATTAATTAGCTAATTGGAAAATGTTTATTAAGAATCTATTCTGTTAGATGCTTAATAGACAGACACATTGCTAGGCAGTGGAGATAAGTACTGTGTGGGATAAAACAGTCTAATAGGGGAAACTGACATTGATCAGTAATCATCCTATTGAATATGTAATGATGAAGGTAAGTGCCCAGAGCAGAAGGGCATGGTGCTGTGAGCACTCCGACCTGGACTGGAGTCAGCAGTGACTTCCCCAAGGAAATGAGACTTGAGCCTTAGCTCTGATAGACAAATAGGCACTAGTCAGGTGGGGAGGAATGTTCAAACTTCCCCAAAACAGAGGGAGTATAGCAAATAAAGACTGAAATAAGGCCATTATGGTTGGGACACAGAGTAAAGAAGGGAGGCCAGACCATGCAGGGCCTCACAGGCCACAGTAAAGAGACTGATTGTGGGGACTTCCTCCTGAAAGCTGAAGGAAGCACTGAAAGTTTTAATCAGGGGATAACTCGACACCTGAATGTCCCAGGGACATCTTTAATTCAACATATACAAAATCCAATTTAATTATCCCTCTTATTTCCAATTTCTGTAAGTGGCACTACCATTCTTCTAGTTAGTCCATTTAAAACTGCCCTCTTTCGCCAGGCACGGTGGCTCACGCCTGTAATCCCAGCACTTTAGGAGGCCGAGGTGGGCGGATCATGAGGTCAGGAGATCGAGACCATCCTGGCTAACACGGTGAAACCCCGTCTCTACTAAAAATACAAAAAATTAGCCGGGCATGGTGGCATGTGCCTGTAGTCCCAGCTACTTAGGAGGCTGAGGCAGGTGAATCACTTGAACTCAGGAGGCAGAGGTTGCAGTGAGCCAAGATCGTGCCACTGCACTCCAGCCTGGGCGACAGAGCGAGACTCTGTCTCAAAAAAAAAAAACCAAAAAAACAAAAAACTGCCCTCTTTCCCTTTATCCTTCATCCAATCAATTATCAATTTATTCCTAGATTTCCCTAATTCTATTTCCATGGTAACAGATACACTCAGTCAGTATTATTCCTGCTATCATCATTTCCATTTAAACCCTCTACCTCTTGTCTGGACTATGATATTAACAGTAACCTTCGAACTGGCCTTACTTCTCCTCCTACCCGCTGTCACCTTTTCCCCCAAACAAACTGAGCATAACCGCCTGTGCATCCTTCAAGGTCCACTTTGACCACCAGTAGTGTGGTGGGTCTCGCCTTCCTTTAGGTACTCTCAGCACTTTGACTTCTTTGGTTTCTAATATTAAGTAGCTTGAGTGGTGAGACTGTTCTCCTGTCTTCTGTTTCCTATGATGAGCAGTTAGTGCCTTGCACATAATACTGTTCAATAAGCCTTGATTAGAATGGATTGAGAGCAAGGCTAAAATGGACTCTGCTCCACTTTACTTAGAAAAAGAATTCCCCAGCTGACTTCCACTAAGTCTCCTCAGGCTAGGAAATAGCAGACCAGCTTTGCAATGTGCCCTGTCATGCCCTCACTGTCCAATGCTGTGCTCTGGTACCACAGAGAAGAGCAGGTCTGATGTTACTTTTTAACCTGTAAAGGATATGGACCTTTCTTGAACAGTTCAGAAGAATTAAAGCAGAAAATGTGGGAGTGACAGCGCAGCCTTAGAAGTGTGAGAGGTACCTTAGAGCTTTGTAATAGGCCAGTGTCTGTAATAGATAAGCAGACCCACAGAGAGGCACAGCTACTAATGAGAGGGGGCAAAGGAGTGTTTGTGTGACCTTGACCACATGGATACGGGTGGCAGAGTTTCCTTACTGACTAATTCAGGAGTCCTCTAAAACTAGGAGTTCATTGACTTAAAAAGTAGGCATTTGATGAGGATTAGCCCCAGATGGATTGTTCATGGCACCTACTGAAGGAGCTTTTCTTGTCTCAAAAGGCCTGAACTGTGTTGCTGCCAGCTTGCTTTAAGCCTTGAGTCTTCTTGCAGGGTAGAGGAGAAATTTGGATTCTGAAGTCTCCAACCATTTCGAAGTAGCAGAGGTGTAGGACCCCTGGACTAAATTGGTTTTAGGACAGGAAGGGAGACAGAGATATCATTTCATGCACGTAGAGTGCTTTCCAGTCTACGAAGCACCATTATGCCCATTTTCTTACATTATCCTTGTAACATCCCTGTGAAGTGGGCTGGGGAAATAGCCCTCATTCCATAGATGGGAAAACCAAAGTTGCAAGGCCTGTCAGAAATCGAACCAAAGTCATCCAGGCAAGGTGGTAGGCCTGTGATCCCAGCTACTTAGGAGGCTGAACCAAGGGAATCACTAAAGCCCAGGAGTTCAAGAAGAGCCTGGGCAACATAGTAAGACCTCATCTCTAATAAATAAATTAAATAAATAAATAAATAAAATTTAGGAAAGAAGTAGAACCAACATCTTCTGATCCTTAACATGTGCTGTCTCCACCCCCACCATGTTCTAGAAGAGGGAGAAACTGTTTAATAGCCCTTGCCACTTAGGTTGAAACTGATTAGCCTGACATCCTCAGCCATTGGCTGAACCTGTGCCCCTCTGCTTTTTGTCCACAGAGCCATGGGGGTGTTGATGTCCAAGCGGCAGACAGTGGAGCAGGTGCAGAAGGTGAGTCTGGCTGTGTCTGCTTTCAAGGATGGGCTGCGGGACAGGCCTTCCATCCGACGCACAGGTGAGCTGCCAGGGTCCCGCCGTGGCACTGTAGAGGGCTCCGTCCAGGAGGTACAGGAGGAGAAGGAAGCAGAAGCAGGAACCTCGGTGGTCCAGGAAGAGAGTAGTGCCGGCCGCGCAGCCTGGGAGCGGCTCCGAGATGGGCGCGGCGTGGAGCCTGAGGAGTTTGACAGGACAAGTCGATTCACACCCCCTGCGTTCATCCGCCCCACCCGGAAGCTGGATGATGACAAACCTCCAGAAATCTGCCTGGAGCCCAGAGAGCCTGTGAGTATCCAGTTAGGACAGGATCCTCAAGTCTTAGTGCATCAGGGAGCAGGACAGGGAAGATGGATGTGGGTAAGGTGATCCTCAAAACCGGAAAAATGGAGCTGAGTCCAAAAAAATCTTTGAATTTCTTCTGTAAGAATAAAATGTTTGTTATATCCTGGATTCATCTTAGTGAAAGGCTTGGGGCAATGGATGATAAAGAATGATGCTGTGGCAGGTCTTCTGTCGAACCTCCCCCTCTTCCCCGCTGCCATGGGTTTTCAACCATGGATAGTACTACACCCTGCGGGAGGCAATTGGAAATTTGGGAGGGAGGAGTTTGGGGAGGTCACAACACCAGGTGGCTACTGGTGTTTGGTACCAAGAAAAGCAGGGATGATAAATGTCCTGCAATGCCTGGAACAATCTCTCACAACAGATTGTTCTTTCTAAAAGTGCTAGTAGCTCCCTGTTCATAAACATGGTCACAAAGACATGAGCAGCTGGAAGGACCTCCTGGTTCTTGTCGTCCAGAAAGAAAACCTCAACAATGGCTTCAGTTGGGGCTGTTCCTCTAGGCTAATCTGGGAAGACTCAGCCCCATGCAGGTAGCTCTGTGCTTAGTGGCCTTGGAATCTTGCTGCCTACATTTACACATCCCTGTTTCCTCCTGCCATCTTTCTGCAGGTTGTCAACGATGAGATGTGTGATGTTTGTGAGGTCTGGACAGCTGAGAGCCTCTTCCCGTGCAGGGTCTGCACCAGGGTTTTCCATGATGGCTGCCTGCGCCGCATGGGCTACATCCAAGGAGACAGTGCAGCGGAGGTGACGGAGATGGCCCACACAGAAACAGGCTGGAGCTGCCACTACTGTGTAAGTCTGGACTGCAGGGACAGCAGAGGACTTGGCACTTTTCCTGGAGGCCCGGTCTTAGAACACTTGATTTTAGGCAGTGACCTAAAGAATTTTCCAATGGGCTGGGCGCGGTGGCTCATGCCTGTAATCCCAGCACTTTGGGAGGCCAGTGCCGGAAGATCACGAGGTCAAGAGATTGAGACCATCCTGGCCAACATGGTGAAACCCCATCTCTACTAAAAATACAAAAATTAGCTGGGCGTGGTGGCACGCGCCTGTAGTCCCAGCTACTCGGGAGGCTGAGGTAGGAGAATCACTTAAACCCAGGAGGCGGAGGTTGCAGCGAGCCGAAATCGCGCCACTGCACTCCAGCCTGGCGACAGAGCGAGACTCTGTCTCGAAAAAAAAAAAAAAAAAAAGATTTTTCCAATGGTACATACAAGAGACCTAGAGCTAGGATGGGGTTTCTCAACCTCAGTACATTTTAGGCTGGCTAGTTACTTGTTTGAGGGGCCAAGTGCATTGTAGGATGTTTAGCGGCACCCTGGCCTTAATCCCCTAGATGCCGGTAGCATACATCTCAATGTGAAGGTAGCAAAATCACCCCCGGTAGAGAACCTCTGAGCTAGGAGATTGACTGGGGCCTAATTACTCAAAAGTAATTCTGCTTGGAGCAGTTCTTTCTCTAATAGTCTATAGTTGTCATTCATTGTATCCATATGAAAACTAACCTGAGATCCTAACCAGCTTGCTTCCAGTAGGGGTAGATTCTATCACAGGAAAACTTCCTAGGCCTGAGATCCTCACTCAGCCTGCCACCTGACTCATAAGCATTTGCTCTTCCTCTTTGAAGTGGTTATTATGTGAATTAAATGACAAAGCTCTATTGATTCAGAACTTCGCAAATTATATATAAATGCCTTCTAACTTTTAATGAAGGACAGAGTCTAAGGTTTCCATTGAAAGCCAGATTTATATCCATTTCTCACTACACCTGAATAGAGTTCAAGTCTTGCCTTATTGATCTGTTGTCCTGCAGATATCGTCATTGTTTATTGATTTCAGAGTGAGGAGCACCTGCTGATCCCCCCTTCTTCCTGCTGCTTAGACGAAAGCAGAGATGTGCCACTTTCTAACAAATAACTCTTCCTCTATGGCTTGTTATGGAACAGCTATTTTCAGCCACTGAAACACCTGTCCCCATGGAGTACACTGCAGCAGACCCTGCTGTACCGGCGACCTTCTCTAGTGCCTGTCACCCCTTCCAAATGCCATCCTTTCATCTCGGCCACTCTGCTTTGCGGTGTGCTGCTGCTATAGGACTGGGGTGAAGGGGTCACCTCCCTAACCCCCAGGAACACACTGCTCCCTCCCCAGCTTCCTGACACAGTCCTACCATCATTGCCACCATGCTCCACTGGGCTTTTTACAGAGCCTCCTTCCAAGTACCTCTCCTTTCTTTCCTTCCCTTCACAGCCAACAAATCTTCTTCTTCTTTTTTTTCTTTTTATGAGACAGGGTCTCACTGTGTCACCTGGCTGAAGTGCAGTGGTGCGATCGTAGCACTGCAGCCTTGAACTCCTAGACCTAAGCAATCCTCCTGCCTCAGCTTCCTCAGTAGCTGGGACTACAGGCACAAGCCATTGCACCTGGCCCCACAGCCAAACTTCTTAAAAGAATTTCACCATCTCCTATGGTTTTTCAACCACCTATCATATAATCTGACATCTGCATCCATCATTCTGCAGAACTGTTGCTTCCTAAGGTCACCAGTCACCTCCTAATTGTCAAGTCCACTGACCTTTTCTGAGGCATCTTCTTACTTGATCTCTCTGAAGTATTTATTACTTCTTTATTCCTCTCTCTTTTCTTTAGGATTTAAGTATTTTTATGAGAATTATTGCATAAGATATGGAAATGAGAGAAAATAGAAAGTCAATAAAATCCCACCTCAGTGGTGTAACCACCGTTAACATTACCTCCCACATTCTGCAGCTGTCTTTGCTTGGTATCCAGTACCTTCTTCTCTACTGATGCTCTTCCAGCCTTAGTCTCTGACCATTCTTTCTCAATGCCCTTTGTTAGTTTCTTGTCTCAGTCCTGTTTCTCAGGGTTCTGTTGTTTAATACTCTTCTTTTCTCACTGCGCCCTCTTTGGTGACTTCATCTACAGCCACCATCTAAACACTAATGACTCCTATTTCTGTGTGTCCAGACCTAAATTTCCTGTCTCTTGCACTTATCCACCTTGATATCTCACAAGTACTTCACACTCATCATGCCCCAAAATGAACTCATCTTTGCCCCCAAACCTGCTCTTCCTCCACTCCTTATCTCTGTGAATAGTAATACCATGCCCCAGTTACCAATTCCAGTTCAATCTCTCCCTCATGCCTCACATCCAGTGAGTCATCAGGTCCTGATGATGCTGCCTCTAATATCTCTCTTCCCTTCTTCATTCTCATGTCTCAGTTTAGCTGCTCATCATTTCTTGCCTGGACTGTTGCGGCAGCCCCCAACTGCTCTCCACACCTCCAGACTCTGCCGCTCTAATCCATCTTCCACACAGCAGCCAGAGATCTGACCACGGCACTCCCCACTTGAAAACCCTTTGGTGGCTCCCTTTTGCCCTCAGAATAAAGGCCTAATTTGAGGGGCTCGATAAAGGGTATTGGAGGTACTTCATAGTAGGCCCCCTCCTTCCCTCACACACACACTCACATGTACTCCAAACCTCAGCCACACTGAACATCTCACAGTGTTACACACCACTGTGGCGCCCAGTGTTTACTAGGTGCTCAGTAGGTGTTTATTGAAAGTATGGTTTGAAAGAAAAATACAACTATTATATATTAGTTTTTAAAAAGTGTTATGGAAGAAAAAGAATGGTTTGAGTTCTTTATGAAATCCACGTATGAATACTCATGAAATATCTGCTCTTGTACTTTGCGGGTATCTCAGAGGAAGAAAATGACCTTGTACTAGAAAGGATCTTTGATAGTTTAAAGACTGTATGGTAACGTCAACACAATAAGATATTGGTGCTCCTTTGGAATTAAAACTTCTGTGGCACTACAAAAAAACTCATTTGGCTTTAGGAGCCTTGTAATAATGGCATCTTTTAAAACCATTCTGGGGTTATTTAAAGTGATACAACCCACTTGGAGCAGAGCTAGGATTAAACTTTTTTTTTTTTTAACTAAAATACATTTTTAGCACAGCCTAACACAGAAGCCAAGTAGATAAAAGGGATGGAGATGGAGCCGCTCTGCTTGATGGAGATAGGGATTCACAACCTGCCTACTCACTAGCCCCCTTATTCCCTGCAGCAGCTTCCTAAGGCACTTCCAAGAAATCCCTAGGTTAGCTCAGAGGAGAAAACCACTGTTTTAGTAAAGGGACTCAGTGCTGGAGTCAGGATATCTGGGTTCTTGGGGAAGATTCTGCCCCAGAGTAAAGACAACTCTGGCCAAGTCCTTTCTCCTCTCTGGGGCCTCAATCTCATTGATTGTGAATAGGAGGCTGGGATTAGATGATCTTGGAACTGCTTTCCAGTTGAAATTCTATTTCTAGCCCCCTTGACCCTGGCCTTTCTTACTGGCCTGTATGGCCACCGACTCAGCTCTTCCTTATTTTCAGGACAACATCAACTTGCTGCTTACTGAGGAGGAAATGTATAGCCTCACGGAGACCTTTCAGCGGTGTAAAGTCATCCCTGGTAAGGTTGGGTGGTGCTGCATGGATGGAGAGGGGCCGGGCAGATTTCTCCTTCAGGCTTTCTAGAATGAACCATGAAAGGAGTGTTCCATATTTAGTGGGTAGAGGGTAAATGAGTCCTTGTTCCTGAGTTGTTGGCCAGCAGAGTCACCTATCCCTGTCACAGCCTGGGTGACCCTGGCCATGGGAGGCAGAGACTTAGCAAGAGCTGTGGGTTTGGGGGCCCCGAGGGTGCCCTGGAGGTGATGGAGGTGCCCTGAGGCTGAGGAAGGATGGGCATGGCTAGCACGGGGTGCCTCCCACAGATTGCTCCCTGACACTGGAGGACTTTCTGCGTTACCGCCACCAAGCAGCCAAGCGGGGGGACCGTGACAGGGCCCTGAGTGAGGAGCAAGAAGAGCAGGCGGCCCGCCAGTTTGCTGCCCTGGACCCTGAACATCGAGGCCACATAGAGTGGCCTGACTTCTTGTCCCATGAGTCCCTCCTGCTTCTGCAGCAGTTGCGTCCCCAGGTGAGGGCCAGTTGGGGCAAATGTTCCTGGGATACTGGGTGACAAGGGCCTGGGAGGCACGCTGGGCAGATTGGGGGAGCACTGGGTCCTGCTCAAGCAGGGACAAGTATCAGGAATGGGCTCAGGTTCCATCCAGTGACAGATGATCTGGTGCCCAGGCTGAGGAAACTGCGTGAGGAAGACTGATCTGCCCTGGGCCGCACTGGAAGTGCTGATGCCTCCAGAAGGGCTCTGGGCAGCTTCTAAGGGAGGTTGCAAAGGTGGTAATGGAGATAGGATTCTCTATGGCTTGGCAGTTTACAAGATATCTTCACCTCTAAGATCTTGTCTCTTCTTCCCCAGAACTCTCTGTTGAGGCTTCTGACAGTGAAGGAGCGGGAGCGAGCCCGAGCCGCCTTCCTGGCTCGGGGCAGTGGGAGCACCGTCAGTGAGGCAGAGTGCCGCCGGGCCCAGCACTCTTGGTTTTGCAAACGGTTCCCAGAGGCTCCTTCCTGCAGTGTCAGGTCTGCTCCTTACCAGTCCTGGTCCCCACTCAGCCTCTCCTCCTCCCTTTTCCATGCCAGTGGCCCTTCCATACCTCCCTGCTCCCCCTGCCAACAGCCGAGAGAGGAGCCTCCTGTGCATTAGGTAGAGGATGGTGATGCCTACGGGCCAGGGCATAGGACAGCCTCTGCCTTCAACTCGGTGTTGCCACATGTCAGAAGAGCCTGGATGAGCATGTCCAGAGCCTTGGGCTTACCAGAGTTTGGGAGGGGGCAGGCATTTCACTATCCCACTCCTAACCACGTGTCCTCATGCCCAGCAGCATCAGCCATGTGGGTCCCATCGCAGATAGCAGCCCAGCCAGCAGCAGCAGCAAGAGTCAGGACAAGACCCTGCTGCCCACAGAGCAGGAGTCCAGGTGAGTAGGACCTCCTCACCTGGCCATTTGTACCCTCTGAACCCCCACAAAACACACAAGTAAGAGAGGGCATTACCCACTCCCACTCCAAAACAGCAAGCGCCCACCCAAGAAACCAGGCTCCAAGAGTGCACATTTGACCCAAGTCTATAGGACCAGCCAGCTGGTCTGTTGGCCTGGTAGCACAGCCAGCCATAGCCAGGTCAGGCATGAGCCAAGCTTCCCTGAGTTTTGTGTAGCTCAAGCCATGCTGCCCCTGGGATCAGGGCTCACGCGTCTTCAAACCAGCCTCCTCAAGCCATGCTGCCCCTGGGATCAGGGCTCACGTGTCTTCAAACCAGCCTCACGACTCTGTTCTTTGCTTCCACTCCAGATTTGTGGACTGGCCTACCTTCCTGCAAGAGAATGTCCTCTACATCCTGGCTGCTCGCCCCAACAGCGCAGCCATTCACCTGAAGCCCCCAGGATAGCATGGAGCAGAGAAGCTCGGTTTGAGGACAGTGACATCCTCTCCCTCCTTTCCTTTCTCCCTTCCCCCACCAACCTCTGGCACAGAGACTCATGGGGTTGGGACACTGCCAGCGTCTTAACTTGTCACTAAGCTTTAAGGCACTGAAATCACCATTCCCCTCACAATAGAGGCAGTGAATGCATTGCCACAAGGAGAAGCCCTGGGAGCTGTGGCAGCATCCTCTCCTGGACCGCCCCTGCCCCACATCATAGACGGGACCTGCCACCACACTTATATACATGTGCACATGCTGCCCAGCTGTCCATGCCTTCAGAAGCCTGGTTCTTTTTGGTTGAGAAAGGACCAAAGTCCCTTTGTGAAGCCCCTGGTATAGAGGAGGGGGTCTCTACTCACCCCTTCTATAGGCAGGCCAGTTCTAATTTCCAATAGATAAGTCTCTGGCCAAGTGATTCTTAGGAAGGGGGCATGTCAGACTCGCATGCCTGCCTAGAGCTCCTGGAGATCCTAATGGGCCCCGCTTTCTCCACCAAAAATCCCTTCTGCAGTCAGCTGCTGTTACTAGTAGGTGTGCATTATGTACCTCGGCTGTACTGAGTTGGGAAAAGAGTTAAACATCACCACTGAAATTCAGCCCTTTATTTATTTAAATTCCAATTCCTGGTGACAGAAAAGGCAACTAGCCTGGAGAATCCTGACTGGAAGAGGGGGAGGCAGCCCTTCCCAGGGACTCGGGATTCTAGGAACCTCTCAGTCAGGTCACCTGAGTCCAAAAGTCTTTAGCAGGGTAGTCAAAAATCAAGGTGAGCCTTCTTGGCCCCATTTTTCAGATGGTAGCTCATGGCCTAGGGCCAAGGGGGCCTGAATGGAGCAAACACACTGGCAGGAGCCACAGCCCTCTGTGTTAGATGCTTCACCCAAGTCACCGACCACAGAGACTGACGAGAGCACACTCTGGAGGAAGAGGAGAGAACGGGGCTCTGCTTCCTCATCATTCCAGCTCAACTCAACTGTAGACACCTTCCACAGCCCAAGAAAGATCTGCAGAGCCCTGAGCAGGGACTCTTTCAGCCATCCTGACAAACAGGATAAGAGGCTGGGGCTTAAGAAGAGGCTCTGCAGAGAAGGTCCTGGGAAAGCCTTACAGAAGAAGTTTTCCGCTTCTCCCTATCACTGAGACTCGGCTTGAGTGGCTGCTTCTCCTCACTGCTCATCACATGTCCTTCCCCAGCAGGCTAGGGCTTGGGCCTGGCATGGAAGGCCTTTTGGGGCAATCAGAGGCTGCCACAAGAGCACCAAGCCTGGCCTCCAAGCCCCAGCCCTCCTTCCTAAGTACTCATCAAATTCAAATTCTTCAGTCCGTGTGTTATGGCTCATCTTGGCCGGCCGTGGGGTCCATGTTCTAGGCTTCTGTTTCCAACTTAATGACTTAGGCATAGCGAGATCTGACTACCAAGAGTTATTCAAAAGGGAGTGGAGTGCAGTCATGCAGAAGCAAACACGTCTTCATTGCTCGAGGCCCTTGTGCTAAATCGGGTGCGTACAGAAGAACACACACCGCTCGGTGCTGAATGTTTCGAGGAAAGCAAGGAGCTGCGGCCAGGGGCTTCTTGAGAGCCCTGTGTAGTCTCCTCCTGTAGGAACCACCTTAGCTGGAAGCAGGGTGGTGAGCTGCTGGGGTTGGATTATTTGGGACTGAAATGAAGCAGACAGGAGACAAATCTGGGCTCAGGTGTATGGCCCACAGCTTTTAGAAATGCTCTTCAGCCGTCCCCCAGGATTGATCCATAGGAGGGGCCATTATTCAGTCTAGTCAAAACAAGAAAGCGCAGGACTCCTGGGCCTAAGAACTGCATCTGAAGCAGCCAGGCCTGGGGTTTTGCACTGAGATGAAAGCACATTAAGCACAGGGGCTCTTACCTACTCTCCTGGCAAATCATCTCCTGTGCCACTGGCCTTGGGCTGCTCGATCTCACAGACGGGGCATTTTGAGTAGAGACAAGCTCTGGGCTTTGAGAGCTGAATAGCATTTTTCTCCTGCCTCATCAGTCACAGGGACTGGAAGTCCATCTTGTTCCCTGATCCTTCACAGATCAAGGTGATGCCTACCTCTTTGGAGCTGCTGCCTCTAGCTCTCCACGGGTGAGTGAGGAGAGTTGGTGGGCCAGGTCAGGCCTGCCGTATTCCAGGGCCTGGCAAAGCAGCCCCAGAGTTCTTCCACAACAGGAACAGGCCCATTTGGATCACGCTTCTCCCTATTCCAGAACAGCAAACTTCCTGGGTGAGGGCCTGCTACAGAGATCCCAGGGGACACTTCCCTCAGCAAAGAGTAGAGTTCCCATCCCACAAGAGTCCTAGGAAGCAGGAAAGCACGAAGGAGCAGCCAGCCTCTTCTCCACAGGCAGTCATCTAGCTTTTTACCAAAGGGGAAGTGCCGTTGCTCCCCAAGTCCAGAGTTGCAGACGCCCTGCCCCAACCCCCGTCCAGAATCTCCCTTTGCAGTGTTCTAATCCCCAGAGCCCCTCTGCGGTATGTATAGAGTTGTTAAAAACGTTCAGAAACCCAGTGAAGCCCATTTCGTTTTCAAGCCCTCCCATCACTGTGACTCTGAAATTCTGCCAAGTACAAATATTAGCGTTTGGCTCTAATAAGGGTATGAGAAAATGTTTCAGTCTTTTCTTTGTGGCTACCCAAAATTGAGATCAGTGTTTCTAACCAAGGAAGGCCTGGGTTATAGACAGGCTCCTCTGAAGCCCACTTGCCCTAAGCATTTTTCACCTAGCATTCCTCTTCCTCATGTTCAGATGTGAATGAAGGGGCAGCTGGAGGATGTGGTGGAGCTGCAGGGACCGAGGGTCAGCTGAGCAGTGGCCCTGGCCACAAAACCACTCCAAGTCTGCTCCTTGGCTTCCTCTCCTGAGCCCAGCCTTCCCCAACAGAACACTTGAGCAAGGGCCCCTAGAGTATCCCAGGGATGGAGCAGTCCCCTCACTCTAGGTACTGATCTAACCTTCAAGTGCTCCTCTTCATTTGAGGACACCTACAGTAGAAACCATGAGGACATTGCCTCTTTCTGCCCTCAGCCCAAGTACCTGGGGCTAGCAGGGCAGATACCAGCCTTTCTGGTCCTGCTGCTCCCTATGGGATGTCACCCTGACCTTGCTTAAGTGGCCAAGTCTTAGGGTCCCCTTATTCCTGTCACCATTATGAAAAACACAGCATTAAACTGCCTGGGAAGAGGACACCTCCTTGGGGGAGTGAGCCCCAAGGTTATACCCAGGACTCATAGCCCAAAGCACAACCTCGGCCATTGCAGGTTTCACAGCTTCAGTCAGAGTGGTGCCAGGAAGCCCAAAAGCCAAGAGGGAAGGTCAGCAGAAGCTGCCTGGCAAGGCCCCAGGCCAGCCAGGCCCACCCCAGAGCCAAGAGAAACTTCAAGCAGGACTGAGAACTGGTAGCTGGCTCTAGTGATCCTGAAAGCATGTTCCCTTCAGACCAGCAGAGTGAAGACAGACAGATGTGTGGCCCTAAAAGGCAGAACAGTTTTGATGCCAGAACTTCAGGACTGTCACCACAGTCCCTTTTTACCCCTCCTCTATTTACAGTGAAATAAAATTCCTATTTTCTTTTTTTTTTTTTTTTAATTTTCCTTATTTCAAGCTCTTATCTGAAAAAATGCTACTTTCTCCTACCACTTAGTTTGAATTTGCCCAGGATATCTGTCTGGGCCCCTGGCTGCAACCCAGACAATGGCGAGATCTCCTGGAGTGGGGGATATTCACGCATCGTGCCTGTTCCTGACAGCTCAGCCCTGGTGTAGGGTGGGACTGGGCATTTTCTCTGCTGTTACTTTTCTGCTACCACTATTTTTGGCAACCTTGGAAAGAAAATAAACAGGTTACAGAATTTCGGCTAGCACTAAGGGAAAGCTTTTTCCTCTGGGCCACATGCCCCAGTGACCCAGAGCATGGAAAGGGGGTCAGCTCTGGTCTGGGCCAGTGACTAAGAAGCCCAATCACATTCCAGTTTCTATAGCACTGGGTAGGCACAACCCACAGTTAAGAACATCAAGTTATAAGTAGCCAGGCCTTTTCATAGCCATGGTGACACAAAGGCCCTCAAGATTAGCCTCCTGCCATCATGGGTTGGCCTGTGATCTGTCCCCCAGCCAAACCCAAGTTTGTGAGAGGGACTCTGAGAACACTTGAGCAACACTTGGGAATCCAATGCGCTCTGGTCCCTCATGCCCTTCCCATGTGCTTTTCTGCAGAAGGTAACTTGACAGCAAGCTGAGGGGAACGTCCCCAAGCCCTGTCTCCCTGTCTCTACAGCTGCATGCTCCTCTGCGTGGCCCAGCCTTCACAGCGCTCCAGAAGAAGCTGATGCCCTGAGGCTGGGCACAGTGGAAATCATAATAAAGCGATTGCGATGCTCTGTCGGCTTCCTGTTTCTTGTTGTTTGGGGAACCTGCCATTTCTGTGTGGTTTCCCATTGTTGATCAATTCCTGGGTCTGAGCATAAGACCGGGGCAGCTGCAGCTGCCAGGAAGGACACAACATGCTGTGACTCTTTCTAGAGTTCTCCTGGCCCTGACCTTCCCAAAAATCAAGAGATGGGTAGAGGTAGGGGCACCACACATACAGATACAGAGATACTGATATTTCTGTATCCAGCACAGATACAGAGCAGAAACAGGAGCACTGAAGTGGAGAGCCAGAGCTTTCAAAGAAATTGAGGATGAGGTCATAAGGTCTCCAAGGCTGTCTGCTCTGTGTTGTCCCTCTCCTGTGCCATGCCCCAGGGCCAGTTTTAGACACTTCCCAGTTCCTCCTGAGCTAAAAGTAAGGAAACTCATTGGCTGTTTTCTCCTGGTCTGAGTGTTTCCTCCCCATTTTGACAAATTGCTTTAATGTAATATGATAGGGTTGGGAAAGCTAAGATTGGAGATGCCATTTGGGGGACTATGGGATCCCCATTCCTCCCTTTTATCTGGTGAGAACAGAGTCAGTACCTGTAGGTGAGACAGCATCTCTAGGCTGTGGATCAAAGGCCGATACTCTACCTCCAAAACCAGAGAGGGTCCCAAGTACAAGTCGTCTTTAACATTTTTTGAGCACTTACTATGCACTTGGCAGTGCTTTGCATAGAGTCACTAATCTTCACAATAATCCTATGAGATTTTTATTACAGGTGAGAAAAATGAGGAACAGAGAGTCCATGTTTCTCAAGGTTACACAACCACACAGGAAGTAGGGGAACCAGGCAGTTTGCCTTCAGAGGACATGTTCTTAGCCACTTTGTTGTGCTTCCTGTCAAAGCACATCTCAAAGGAACCACTGCTGTGTGAGCCAGCACCTCCCCTCCCCACCCTGGGAATAGACACAGACAGGTAACCAGGCCTGTATCCATGGCACGGATTTCTTACCACTGCACAATTCACTCCATCCGCTCACCAGGCTCCCACACCTCTCCTCCCTGAATTCTTCCCATGGGGTCCACCAGACTGAGAGCAGATTAATGACATCCCACCAGCCCTTTGTCCTTGTCTCCAGGCTCAGTGAAGCTAAGCATTGGGACAGAAAAAGGGCATAAAAAGGCTGGGTGTCTGTGGGCCCGAATGAATAAGGTTTCCCTGCCCTCAGTTCAGCAGTCCTGGCTGGAACTTTAGACCCTCTGAGGACTGTTCCTCCCACCAACTGCCACTTGTTCCCAGGACTGGCCGGGGTCTTGGTTCTACACAAACCTCCACCCACCTTGTCCTGCTCTGGTTCAAATTCATTTCCTCTTTATCCCTGGGGAGAGTCATTCCTTAAGAGAATCAATGGCTGCTAAATTTGCTAAACATGGAGTAGTGCTCTCTCCCACCCCACCCTTTCTAAGGGTTGCTTGGAGGTTGACTTTGTTGAACCTCAGTTTCCTCGACTGTAAAATCTGTAGGACAGTCCCTGTCCTGTAAGCCTCCTGGGCTGGTTAATTGAGGAAAGAGTTTTGTATAAGAGGAGAGAGCTTTACAGATTGTAAGGCACTGAGTAAGTAGCAAGGATTTCTGCTCCATCTGAAGGCTGTGAGTGTATCATCTCCACACTCACACAGTCCCAGGCATAGCTGGGTCGGGGTGGGGTGGGTACTGTGATTGCCTCTGTCCAAAGTGCTGAAGTCATAGCCAAGCCAGCTGAGGACCTTCAGTCCCTCCTTGTCCCACCTTTGAGTAACCATCAAGTACAGAGATTTCCAAGCCCAAAGATTGTCCTAAAATTGAGAATGTATTGCCAACAAATTTATTTTATTTCAAGTATCTTTGTTTAAAATGAATACAGCTCTCCATTCAAAATTATAACACGTACACATGAACAAGAGGTGATTTAGCAGCTCAGGGAGAAAAGAGCTTATGGCCTTAACTCGGTATGGGTGAACAGTATGAGGTGGCTACCAAAAAATAAACTGATGGGCCAGGTGCGATGGCTCACGCCTGTAATCCCAGCACTTAGGGAGGCCGAAGCAGGTGGATCTCCTGAGGTCAGGAGTTCAAGACCAGCCTGGCCAACATGGCGAAACCCTGTCTCTACTAAAAATGCAAAAATTAGCCAGGTGTGGTGGTGCACACCTGTAGTTCCAGCTACTCAGGAGGCTGAGGCAGAAGAATTGCTTGAACCCAGGAGGCAAAGGTTGCAGTGAGCCGAGATCACACCATTGCACTCCAGCCTAGGCAACAGGGCGAGACTCCATCTCAAAAGAAAAACAAAACAACAACCACAGAAAAAACTGATGTAATCTGAGCCTATGTGGAAAGAAGTTCAGAGTCAGAGGAGGGAGGCAGGCCGGCTCATTCGTACCCTGCACCAGCTCTCCTGGAAAAAGCTAATCATAACTGGGCACCACAAACTGAAACCCATTCAGGGAAACATGATCTTAGTGAGTAGAATTGAGAAAGGCAGGGGATGAGTCCATGAAGGCATGGGTCCTGGAGAGAAGCAGATTTGAAGGATGCAGATGGTGATGTTTGGCAGATGGACCAATGAGGTCAGTGTGGTCCCAAGGACAGGGCTAAGATGAAATGTGAACACTGTGGAGAGGCAGATTTCTGCTCAATAGGACCAAACATAACTGGTTACCAGGAAGGCAGTGGAGCTGTATTAAGCATGTGACAGAAATGCTGATTTGGGGGTGGGGTGACTTCAGTCCTCTTGAGACCTGAGATGCCAGTAAACAGTTAAGCACATTCTGTGCATACCCAGTGCTGAGCCCAGGTGAGCCAGAAGGAGAAGATTCATGACTGTAAGAACCCACATAACCCCAAAGTTTTGGTGTCAAAAACGAGAACTTTAATTTTTTTAGCTCACAGGTGGGCTCTTGGACGCTTGCCTCTAGAACCTGATGTTGCACGCCCTCTGCTGGTCATCCCTAACATTGCTCTCTCATCCCAAGGCAAGAAATCACCCCTCTGAACCCTTCTGGTGCTGGTCAGCATAGGTTCAGAACACGCAGGGAGACGCCAGCGAATATCAGGGAGTCAGATCCCTGGTAGTGTTCAGTTAGTTCAGTATAGGATCAGAACTGAATCTGAAGATGAATTCAAGTATTTTGTATCAAAATTAGGGCTCAGCCATGTCTAGGAGGAGGGTTTGGGCAGAGGCTGGATTCGGGGAACTGTCTCTACCAGGACAATAACCAGGTTGTGTCTCAGGCTGAGGTCAAAGTTGGGACTCAGTGTGGGACCAAAGTCTGGGCCTGAGTGTCAGCATGAAGCATGTATCAGGTGAGATGCTCAGAGTCTGATCACAGGAGGGAGGCCATCTGCAGCCAAGGTGATGGGTCAACGTGGCATTCCTACACCCAGGAGAAAGCATCAGGTAATGAGTACCCAGGCACTGGAGAACTCAAGAACAAACATGGAGACTGCCCAGGGGAGAGATATGAGGGACAGGGGACAGCAGGAGATAGTCACTCATTTCTTTTTTTTCTTTTCTTTTCTTTTCTTTTTTTTTTTTTTTTGACAGGGAGTCTCGTCTCACTCTGTCACCCAGGCTGGAGTGCAGTGGCGCGATCTCGGCTCACTGCAACCTCTGCCTTCTGGGTTCAAGCGATTCTTTTGCCTCAGCCTCCTGAGTAGCTGAGATTACAGGCATGTGCCACAACACCTGGCTAATTTTTTTTGTATTTTAGTAGAGATGGCAGGTAGTCACTAATTCGTAAGGCCCTCCCAACTTTAAGGATGGTGATGGGTAGGCCAAGTAGCCCCCTGTTCCTCAGTATTCTAGTATCCCAGTATTCTAGTTCTGGTTTCCTGTTAAAGCCCCCGCTCCTGCTCCCACACACACACTAGTACTACCACATACAACTCATAGGTACAACTGGGGGAGAGAAGTGGCCCAAGGGCCAGTTCTGTCACTGCAGGGAGGTGGCAGCTGTGAGGGTAGTCTTCCTTCCCCCCAGGATTCTCTGTTTCTACTGGCAACAGGGCCTGGCAGCCTCCCACACCCAGATCTTAGCAACCATGGGAACCCCTGGCAACCATTACCATGGTGACAAGACAGGGAACTGAAAACAGGCTGGGGGCACTTCCTCTGCAGCCTTCGGGATGTGAGCAGGATAGGGGCTCCCTTCCCTATACAGTCTGGGAGGGAACATGTGCCTCTGTCTAAAACACCTCCTCACTGGCACCCACCCCCACCCCTGCCCACGGGTTCCGGTTCCCTCAGGGTGAGGAAATGAGGGACACCTAGGGTTATGACGTCTCCAAGGGGAGGGAGGGTGAGTGGGGGCGTTTGGGACTGGCATGATCGCAGATGCGTGCATACGCTGGCAGACATGGTGTCAATGTGTCAGTGCCTATATACCTTATCCACTCTTTGTCATGTAGACACATGCCCGCACAGTCATTTACTCACACATGTACACTGACCCAAAATCATATACCTACAACATATAACAGAATCAGGCACACCACCACACAAAAATAACTGCACAGATCCACTCACAAATCACATTACCAGTACCACACTACAAATAACTCCCAGACTCACAGATTTATAGATGCACTCGCACTCCCAGCATCTGTGAACATGTAGAGTAATGGTTAACTTGGTTGAGTTAACCAAGTTAACCATTGGTTGGGTATAAACTACATGCCCAGCTCAGAACTAAGTGCACTACCTGTGTTACCTTAATTAACCCTCTCAACAACCCCCTGAGGCACCAATCCCCATTTACAAAGGAGATGAGGCATGAGTGTGGCGTGTAAGCTCACAAGGTGCATAGACTCCAGACCACACTGTCACAGTCCATGCCACACTGAGCACTACACACACGTGACACCCAGGACAATGGGACTGAGGGCGGGAACCGAGGACTAGGCAAACAGTGGAGTCTGTGCCACCAACACCTGAAGGCACAGTTCTGCACCCTCAAAGGTCCGAGCCTACACTTTAGCATTAGCAGGGGCCAGGTAAAGGCTGGTGACTAAACTCTCTGCCTCCGTGTTGGCACAGGCAAGGCTGGGGGAGGCAAAAGAGACAGAACTGGAATAGGAAGAAGTAGAGCCACCCACAGCCTGGGCCCCACAGGTGTGGAGGTGGAAGAGTGAGAGCCCCCAGATCTGAGGAGCCAGCAGCGGTGCAGGGCCCCTCACCCCACCTTACCCATCTCTGTGTCACACAGAGATGTCCATCCCTCCTCCCTCCCCTCCCCCTTCCTCACTCCTCCTCACCCCATCTCTGTGCCTCATCCTTTCATTACTCACCCCTTCTTTCCTCATCCCTCACCCTGCCTTCCTGCCCCTCCCCAGCCCTTCTTTCCTTATCCCCCACCCTGCCTTCCCTCCCCTCCCCAGCCCTCCTTTCCTCTGCCCTCCTTACTCCCACCCTATGGCTCATCTGCCCCATGCCCCTCCCCTCCTCATCCCCCTCACCCCATCTCACCATCCTCTCACCACCCCCTCTCCCTACCTCCCCCCCTCAACCCCATTTCCTCAAATTCCTCATGCTCATTTCCCCACATTCATCACCCATCTCTGCTCCCCTCCTGGCCCCCAACCCCACTTCCTTTCCATCCTCCTTTCACCCCAAGTCTCTTTCTTCCTTCACACCTCATGCCCCTTTACCCTTGGGAGCCCCATAGTGACTCCTGGCATGAAGGTAGGTAGTGAAGAATCTACAGACATGACTCCAGGACCCTGGCACCCCCCCCCCGCCTTGCTCTGCTCTTGGCCCAGGTACTCAAGCTGCAGTTTCTAGCAAGACCTCATGGGTGTCCAAACTCTGTCTCTGGAAAATAGGAAAGAAAGAAGTAAAGGGGAGCTTCCGGCCTGACCCTTCTATCATCATCAACCCCCCAGCACTCCCCTCCCCCACTTCACCCCCAAATTACTCCCTCCCCACCCCCGCTCCCTCGAGCACAGATGGGCCTGGGAGACAGTGACGTGGGCGCCAGGCACCGTGTCTGCTGGAGTGGCGGCTTCCGCTGGCGACCGCCTCCGCAGCCCCGCCTGCTCCCTGCATCGGGGACACTGGGGCTGAGATCTAATGACTTAATGGGGGGTGGGGGAGACTAGAGATTCTGAGGGTGTTAAGGAAGGGGATCTTGGGGAGTGAGATGAAAGATGAAAGGGGAGAGCTAGGATAGGAGATCGGGGTGTAAAGAAAGAACCAAGAATAAGACAAAAGGGATCACTGCGGGAAGGAAGACAGGAGATCATCTAGGGCCAAGAAGGAAAGGGCTAAAACACAGGCACTCCAGGGGGAAGCAGGATGAGAGACTGATTAGAAGAGGGACTGAAATGGAGACCGCGGGGTCGCTGAAGAGGGGCGCGAGGATGAGGGGCTGTACAGAGGGTGGGCGGGGGAGATTCCTGGAGGCACCGGCCTGGGCAGAGCCATCCGTTTCCCTCGGGGGAGAGGTCCGGGGGGCTCTGAAACCCGGCATCCGTGGGGTCTGTTAGAGATTCCGTTAGGTCACATCAGGCCACCGCGGGGTCAGGATAAGGTAAAGCTAAATGAGGTCAGCTTGAGGTGGTTACACCGTTGGCTGAAAGGCGAGTAAGAAGTGCTGACCTTTTGGCCCCGGTCCAGGGACTACACCTCCCAGAGTGCACTGTTCTCTCCCTCTTGCCCCCCAATGAAGAAAGGAAAGAATGCACGGCCGCACGGCCAACTGGTGGGTACAGTTTTCCTTTAAGGCTGCCTTTGACGTCGCAAGGGTTCCAGAAGGTTCTCCTGGGATTCGAGCAGTGGCCAGTACGTCCCACCTTCTCAACCCGGAGATTGGACTAATATAGTTTGCCCCCGGGCTCGGGTCTGAGTCTCAGGCACGAACCAATAAAATCAAAGGGCGAGCGAGGTTGCCGCCCTCTGTCTTTTTCACCAATGGCACGACAAGATGGCAAAGAGGCGTGGTTGAGTGATCCCAGAGGGCGCCAATCAGATCCACACCAATCACTGCCTGGAATGTGTGCGCGTGTGGCCGGGTGACAGGGGCGGAGGATGGGCGGCTATCACCAAGCCGCTTGTTGAAAACTGCCCAATCACAGTGGAGGCTGAGCTGAGTGACAGGAAGACGGTTCAATGGGCGGCGCGGAGGCGGAGCCGTGGGGGCGGGCTCCCGGTCCCGCTATCGGCGGCCGGCGGGCAGGCGACTCCTGTCCCGGGTGGAGGCGGCGGAGCCGGAGCCGGGGGAGGGGGCAGCGGCTGTCTCACGGACCACGGCGGCGCCCGCAGCTCCTCACCGGTGAGGGCGCCAAGCCAGGACTCGGGGGTCCCGGGAGCGGGGCGTCGTGAAGCCAGGGCTCCTGGTGTTGGGGGGTTGGGACACTGAGGGCCCGTAGGCTCTGCTGCCTTGGGGATGCGGGGCCCCGGGGTCTGCAGGGTGCTCGGAGTCCTAGACCAGGGCTTGGCTGTCACAGGGGGCAGCCAGCGTCTGAGTCGGGGAGGGGAGGGGAGGGGAGGGTCGAGTCGGACCGGACCAGATTGGGTTCTGTGGGGCGGAGGCATCTGTGAGCAGACCAGCCAGCCAGCGCGGGTGACATCACCGACCACCCTCCCCCGCCCGAGCCCCCTCCCCTCCTCTCCTCGCCGCGCCTTTTGTCCCGGCCGAGCTCCGCTCTGCCCCGCCCATCTGCGAGGGAGGAGACTCCCGTCAGTGACTTCATTGAGTAGGTTCTTGGGGATTGGGGTCGGGTCCTCCCCAGTGAGAGGCGACAGGAGCTCACTGCCTCTCGGGCCCTCACAATCACACCTGTCACAGGTATACACGCTGCCACTCACAAACACACGCTTGCACTCCCAGCCTCACTGACACGCTGCCATACAGCCGCTCACAGCCAGCCAGACACTGCTGCACCTGAGAGCAGGTGGCCGCGGGTCTTCTCCCTTCACTCTCCACATTTGGGGATCAGGTCCGGCACCTGCTGCGCCAGACAGGCCTTGCTGGGCACGCGCCTCTGAGAGTCCAAGGAGGTGGCTTCCAGAGCTGCAGCACTTCAGGCCGGCTCCGGTGGAGCGATCAGAGGTGAGGGGCTTGGCTGGGCATGTTTAAGCGCACAGTGCTCTCCTGCCCACCCCCAGCAGCACCCCCACTGCAGGCCCGAGGAGCTTTCCGGAGCTTCCCACACTCCTGGGGAGAAGACTTCTTAGCCAGCTTGATGTTTAAAATTCAGCTGGAGCCCTTAAAACTTCGAGCGTGGACGCTGAATGGGTTTGTAAAGTTTCGGTAAGTCCCTCCGGAGAAGGGCACTCACACCCATACCCAGTCAAACCCTCCACGCGGCCATCCCCTCCATTGCCTTCCTGCTTCCTCCAACTCATCCTCATCCCCTCTGTGACATACAGGAACCCCCCTCCGGCCTCACCCACATATTTGAATGAATTGCACCCCTTATCATTCCTTTTCTCAAACCCTTCAGGTATCCATTTTCCACAGACATTTCCTCCATTATTTCAACTCTCCACATTCCTCCCTTTCAACCCATCATTAACCCATTTTCCACCTCAGCCATTTCCATCTGTCACTCATCCCCCTCCATCAGTACCTCATTTTCTGTATCAGCCATCTCCCCTCCCTGTACCTCAACAGTCCCCCTCGCCATTTTCTCCCCATTTTTCCTTCCTGCCTCTACCTTAACATCCTCCTCATTCTTCTCCATCAAAGGCAGTGCCATGCCATGGGGCTCCTTTGTCATTCCAACACGTGGCCTGTGGGTAGGGGGGAAGGGAAGGAGGGAGGAAAGCAGAAAGAGAAAAAGGAGGCAGATCCTGAAAGAGCTTGCCCTGTGTCTGCGGAGGCAAGAGATGTATGGGCCTAGAGCAGCTAGCAGGTGGGTACCAGGGAGGAAGCTGGCCGGGTGTGGAGGTAATGCAGGGACACCAAAAGGAGGTGGGTGGTTGGTGAGCCGTTCCACTGGCCCTCTGCCTGGAAGCTGCTCTCGTTCTCTAGGGGCACCCTCTTGGTGTGCTAGGGTTCTTTCCCAGTCCCAGGGGAAAGAAGGTGTGGGTTGAGGCAGAAATGGCAGACCACCCCCCCCCGCTCCCTCTCAGACGGCTTTTGCTGCCATTTCCGAAAACGGTTGCCCCCCCCCCCAACGAGGTGCTCTTTCTTCTCTGCCTCTCCCAACCCCACCCCCCACCCCATCTCCCCCACAGACGTGACATGCTGGTGGGGGGCAATGGGGGAGTACCCGCCTTTGTGGAGCCTTTTCTTCGTCAGAGAAAGGTGACTCCCAGAACCATGAGTCAACCCAGCCACCTGCAGCAGGGCCTGTGGGGGCAGCAGTGAGGGCCATTGTCCCTGCCCACCTAGGGCCTTGGGCGCCTCCCCCTTACCCGGTTACAGGCCTCACTCCTGGAAGGACACCCTGTACACCTCCCTGCTGTGAAGCAGTCAGAGGCAGAAAGGCAGGTCTCAGCTGTGGCTGCCAGCCTAGGACATTGCTAGAAAGACTCTGGTTCTCCTGGCTTTGGCAGGGGTTGGCCAAGTCTCAGAAGGGCTGAGAATGGCTTCTGGCCATCCCCCAGAGAGCTCTAGCTACAGGAAAGTCCCCCTTCCCCTGATATCCACCACAGACACACCGATAGAGGGAGACTGGAATGGAAGAATTCGGGTTGTACGTTTCTCTTATAACAAATGCTCCTGCACCCACCTTAAAAGGGACTCAGAGGAATATGGGTCTGATGATGGGCCGGATCCTAAACCACAGGGTGGACTGGGGGCGTAGGGTGAGGCTAGGAGAGGTATTAAGGAAATGGTGGTTGGTTAGTGCCCAATTGTCTCCTAACAGCTGGGGTTGAAAAAGTCCTGTCCCCAGGATGCTTTTGTTCACTCACACTGGTGCTTAGGCGGCACAGCCCTCACAGTTTTGTGTGTAGACGCTGGCAAATGAGTAAAGGGAACTGTTGCCCTGGTTGGGGGAAGGATAGTGTCGCCCCCCCTGCTAATGAGGGAGTTGGAAACAGCAGTTTCCAAAGGCTGTGAGTCACCCTGTGATCTGAGTCACACGTGAGGCTTAGCATCGTCAGAGGGGTGGGGGCGGGGAGGCCTGGGGTCTCCGATGGCAGACAGGACTCCAGACACCCATTCCCTGACTCAGTCTGGCTGGCCAGGACAGCTGGCGGAAGACCCAGGCCTGTTCCCGGTCCTGGGCCACTGCCCCAGCTGCCCTCAGCCTGGGCACCATGCCTGAGGCGTGGCGTAGGAGACCACGATGCTCAGGTGACCTCACCCGTTACACTGACCTTCGCCAGCTCCTGTGTGTGGGTCGCTCAGTCCATGGTGCCACCTCGCTCAGCAGGGCCTCTCAGGGGTCCTCAGTCTGGCCCAAGGACCAGGGCCTCAGCCTAGCCCCAAGAGTGGGCCACAACCTTCAGCTTCCTGCTGGGAAAACCCAGGAGGTGAGGACGGAATCACAGAATTCTAGAATGTCAGAGCCAGAAGAGATCATCTAGTCCAAACCTTTCATTTTACAGATGGGGGGACGCAGGCCCACAGAACAGGCATGACCTGCTGAAGGTTACCCAGGGAGTCATTTAGGGATTGCAAGATCATCAGGAACAGGGCTGGGGCAGAAGAGAAGGCATCAAGTCTTGGCCCTGGGTTTCTTTCAGAAACAAGGAGACCAGTGCTGGTCCAGTGGCTGTGATGGGAAAAGATTATTACAAGATTCTTGGGATCCCATCGGGGGCCAACGAGGATGAGATCAAGAAAGCCTACCGGAAGATGGCCTTGAAGTACCACCCAGACAAGAATAAAGAACCCAACGCTGAGGAGAAGTTTAAGGAGATTGCAGAGGCCTATGATGTGCTAAGTGACCCCAAGAAACGGGGCCTGTATGACCAGTATGGGGAGGAAGGTAAGAGGGCAGCACTCCAGCCCAATCCCGGACCCCTCCGCTTGGTAGGGGTCCCAGGTGCACCAGTTTGTGTAGCGGGGAACTGGAGGCTGTGGAGGGGGTGAGGGCAGCAAGGGTTTCCAGCACTGTCACCCAGAGAAGAGAGAAGCCCACCCACTACCCAGCTCAGCTCACCCTAGTTCTCCCCGCCTCTCTCTGCCCCCTCCCTCCTCGGGTTCAGGCCTTAGAGAGGTCTGAAGCAAGAGCCAGAGGCCTTCCCCGCCCTTCTTTCCTTCCCAGCCTTATTAGTCCTGCCTGAAGTCTCCGCTGCTTCATTGGCTGATGAGGAAGGTTGGGGAGAGGGAGTGTGTGGCTCTCTGAGGACAGAGCATTTACATTCATCAGCATAAAAGTCTGGCCCTTAAGCAGCCTGGGAATTAACTACCAGAGCTCTGAGCAGAAATGGTTTTCCCCTTCTCTCCCCCGGCCCTGCCTGCTTCTGGCCAGCAGAACAGAGGTGGAGCTTTGCCTCCCAGAGGAAGTGGCAGGGATCCAAGGGTGGACGGGGAACTGCTGCTGGCATCTTCCCCCTTCCCTGGGGTAGCTGGTGGCCATGGGGTGGGAGGCAGGAAAGGCCCAAATAAAGCCTCTGAGAGGGAGGCCCCTCCCAGCACATCCCACGGCCATGATGTAGCTGCTAATTCTGGGCCTGCCCCTCAGGGCTGCCTGCCACCCGCCAGCCACAGGCACCTGTCAGGCTATATTAAGAGACATTGTCACGCTGAGGACTCTCCTTCCTGGGAAGAACTGTCCTTCCTCCCCAACAGAATCCACCTTTCTTTCACATTCTCCTCCTCTTCACCCTCCCCTTTCTATCCTCAAAACTAAATGGGCTAATCATATGTAGATAAGAAGGTTATTTTCTTCCCCTCCTCCTGGCCTTGTGTTCCATGCCCCTCTGTGAACCCTCATCCTCCCAACTCCCTTTTCCTATTCTCCATGCTGCCGGTTCCTTCCATTCTTCCTGCCTACCTCCTAGACGTGCCAACTCCCAGATTCACCAGATACCGGCTGGAACCCCCAGTATTCTTTCAGCTAAGACATTTTTCTCTCTGGCATGGAGGGATGGGAGGGATAGGAGTGGAAAAGAGGGAAGCAGTGCAGACACCATGCCACCATGTGACCTGTCTTGGAATTGCACCCATTCCTCCATTCAGCCTCACCTTTGTTTAGAAAGAAGGCAGGAGCTGGGAGAGCTCCCTTGAGATACTTCACCCCTTCTGCCTAAGTGAAGGGGTCCAGACACCAGGTTCTGATGCAGAACCCCATCCCAGGAAGGCCCCTGAGGATGCGGCATGGCCTTAAGGGGACCTCCATGGCCTGGGGAGGGAGAAGCAGCTTAGAAATGTTGGTTATATTTCTGTCCACCCTGCCCAATCCCCAGCAGCCATTTATTATAGAGCAGTTATACACACAGACTCTGTGTGCAGCTCCAGCTAGGGACAAGTTGCTCCCAGCTTGAAAAGGGGGTGGTAGTGGAAGAATAGAAATCCCTATAGAGAGAATTACCCCTTCCCATCATCATCAGTCCAGCCTCCCTCCCTCTCTCACTGAGCTCTGCCAGGCTGCTTGAACTCGCTTGATAATCAGCCCCTCGATAGAAGGAAAGGAGAGATCCTAGGTCTTGGGGGAGGGGTGAAGAGGCAGCTGCCACAAGTCCCTGAACCGTCTGCCACTTGGCCTCTCTAGTGAAACTCAAATCTGCCCTTGTGGTCCCAGGAAATAAGAGGCTAATTTAGGCTCAGATCTCCATGATCAGTTGAAATTCTAGATAAATGGCCTCAAAGAGAAGGGTCTCTTTCCTAGCCTGGACCCCACCCATAGTCTCTGTATTCCGGAGCAGTTCTCAGTGTGAACCGTCTCCCCACATCCCCCACTACTGCCAGCACCCCCTCCTGTGCATGAAGGCTGCCTCCAGGAATCTGAGCCCCTTAGACAGGACCTGACAGAGAGAGCAGCTAAGGTCACCACTGCCATGTGCCAGCCCATTCATGCATTTTGGTTGCTCAACATTAGGTGTGGGGTATGGCGTTTGCTGTTGTATAACTCCAGGGAGCTCCATTCCCATTGTAGTCTATGTCTGTACAATGTGTGAATGACACTCCCTAAAGTTGTGTAACACCGAGCAGAGTGTGGGAACAAAGCATTTAAAAACTTTTTCTAGAAAAATAGCTCTTCATCTCCAAGCTAATGAGCTTTCCCACTTTTTAAGGCTTCCTGATTTCCCGTTTGAGCAGGGGCCAGGGAAAGAGGAAACACTGCTAGAAGCAGAGTGAAAGTGGTCTTCCTCCCGGGTTGGATCCCTAGCCTATTTGCGACTGTTCACTTACCAGCCCCCTCTGTGGTCACATCCTGTCTGATGGCCCCTTGTCCTATATGTCTTTGGAGATAAGCAAAGATTTGGGAACCAAGTATCACTTGTAATGTGACACCAGGCTAGTCATTCAAGGCTTTTTGAGACATCTTTGGACCATGAGTATGTGGAAAAGATTACAGGACTGGAAGTCACATCCTCTAAGTCCTCTAGTCCTGGCTTTTCCACCTATTGGGTAAGCAAGCCTCTTTGAATCTCAAGTTGTGCATCGTTATTAAATATATAATTAGGAATGGAAGATAATCTTGCCAGAAGCCTTTCTTACTCTATTAGCCTGGCCCTCTCTGTGGGATTTAAAGGTTGCTTCTTTCTTTAAGCCTGTGAACTGGGAGCTAGAGGGCAGGGGGAAGACACTGGGATTGGGGCCAGAATAAGCCACACTGCCCCTAACTTCTCCTCCCCTCTAGGCCTGAAGACCGGCGGTGGCACATCAGGTGGCTCCAGTGGCTCCTTTCACTACACCTTTCATGGGGACCCCCATGCCACCTTTGCCTCCTTCTTTGGTGGCTCCAACCCCTTCGATATCTTCTTTGCCAGCAGCCGCTCCACTCGGCCCTTCAGTGGCTTTGACCCAGATGACATGGATGTGGATGAAGATGAGGACCCATTTGGCGCTTTCGGCCGTTTTGGCTTCAATGGGCTGAGTAGGGGTCCAAGGCGAGCCCCAGAACCACTGTACCCTCGGCGCAAGGTGCAGGACCCCCCAGTGGTGCACGAGCTGCGGGTGTCCCTGGAGGAGATCTACCATGGCTCCACCAAGCGCATGAAGATCACAAGGCGTCGCCTCAACCCTGATGGGCGAACTGTGCGCACCGAGGACAAGATCCTGCACATAGTCATCAAGCGTGGCTGGAAGGAAGGCACCAAGATCACCTTCCCCAAAGAAGGCGACGCCACACCTGACAACATCCCTGCTGACATCGTCTTTGTGCTCAAAGACAAGCCCCATGCACACTTCCGCCGAGATGGCACCAACGTGCTCTACAGTGCCCTGATCAGCCTCAAGGAGGTGGGGCCTAGTCAGGCTGTGTGTGTGTGCTGGGGAGATGGTGGGGACATTCCCTCTCTTCCCGCCAGCTGGCACATTCTTTCCCCACCTCAGTCTATTTCCTTCCTTCCCACTCACCTTACCCCACCTTTTCCTCACTTTCTGCTTCGTCTTTCCCAGGCGCTGTGTGGCTGCACTGTGAACATTCCCACTATCGACGGCCGAGTGATCCCTTTGCCCTGCAATGATGTCATCAAGCCAGGCACCGTGAAGAGACTCCGTGGGGAGGGCCTTCCCTTCCCCAAAGTGCCAACTCAGCGAGGAGACCTCATTGTTGAGTTCAAAGTTCGCTTCCCAGACAGATTAACACCACAGACAAGACAGATCCTTAAGCAGCACCTACCCTGTTCCTAGGCTCTGCCCCAGCCAGTCCAGAGCCTACCACAGCAATACCCCCAACACTCACTCCACTCAATGTGCACCCAGCTTGATGTCCACTGGACACTGGCAACTTTTTCTAAAATGCAAAAAAAAGCCACTGGTTTTCAGGAAAATGTTCCTGTCCCTGACCCCTTTTAGAGCTGGGCTGCCTGGGGGGAGTGGGAGGGAGGTGGGGAGAGCTAGCCCAGGCCAGGGGTCAATGTTCATGTCACTAGCTTTCAATCCAGTTTCCACTGCAGTGGCTGGAGAGTGACCTGAGTGCTACTTGAAGATATGTAGAGATTCCTTATCCATGCCTGTACATAGCATGTCCTCCTCCCCTCAGCTTTGCTAATACCAGTCCCCTCCCTTCCCTTTGGCTTCCTGCTGTTGGGGGTGGAAAAGACTAGAAAGGACATTGCTTTCTCAGCCCCACCCCCAGGTCCACAGTGTCCAAGGTAATGGCACACATATTCATGCACAAGAAGCACTCACCTAGAGCTGTCTGTGCCTCTCTGGGAGAAAGGAGAGAGGATAAGAAGGGAAAGTTCACAACCTGTGAACAGGGACTTGAGCACGAGACACTTTTCATCTGGAGCAGGGGGGTGAGCTCCTCAGCAGCCTCCGTAACAGCTGCCCTGCCTACACCTGCAGAGCTGGAGGTTCTGTCCTCCCTGCTGCTCTCAGGAGTGTTCAAGGGTGGAGGGCAGGGAATGGGGCCTGAGGTATTAAGGCTAAGAGGTGGGGGACAGGGCCCATCTACCAGCCTTCATCAGGAAGGGAAAGGGCTTTGGGGTCAGGTGGCAGCTATTCCCCACCAAGAGATTCAGGGTCACAGGTTTTTCCCCACACCTCTGAACTCAGGGCCTAGCCACCCCCAAACTTCCAAATCCCACTTTTGTGATATGTGAAGCTACTCATTTCTTACCCTTGGAGGCTGTGTGGGGAATTTCCAGCCCTTTTATGCCTGTGTGATCCCACCCCACCCCCATAGTTGTATAAAGGTCATAGTGAAGAAGCTGGGGGAAGACTGCTTCAGCCAGATCCTGGGGTGGGGTCTTTAGGTTTTCTCACTTTGACAACCCCCGAATGTTTTTATAGTAGTTTTTTTGTATTTTTTTGTAATGACAGTATTATGTAAAAAATAAAGTATTTTAAAAATATGGCATCTGAGCAGGAGCAACAAACCTGGGATGGGGGTGGCTGAGGAGGGCCACTGTCATCCTCCCTCCCGGGCTCTGGTCACCTTTGAGAAGCCCAAGCAGGCCCTCAGTATAAGCTGAAGCTGACCTCTGCCTTCCTCGAAGCCTCCTGGGATTTCTAAAACTTATACTTCAAACACAGCACAGACAGAAAGTACCACTCAGCTATTAGAAGAAACATCTATTTGGGAAGGAAAAATATCCCTGCTCATGAGAGACAGAGACCATTGTCTTCAGATGTGCTAGCATGAAAACAGATTTTCTCTTCTTGTCTAAATTTTCTCTGAGTCAGACAAATTTTCCTTCTAGGAGAAAATTTTTTTCTAGGAGGGGGTGGAGAACTTTTTTTTTTTTTTTTTTTTTTTGACACGGAGTCTTGCTCTGTCGCCCAGGCTGGAGTGCAGTGATGCGATCTTGGTTCACTGCAGCCTCTGTCTCCTAGGTTCAAGCGACTCTCCTGCCTCAGCCTCCGAGTAGCTGGGATTACCGGCATGCACCACCACACCCGGCTAATTTTTGTATTTTTGGTAGAGACAGGGTTTCACCATGTTGCCCAGGCTGGTCTCAAACTCTTGACCTCAAGTGATCCGCCTGCCTTGGCCTCCCAAAGTGCTGGGATTACAAACATGAGCCACTGCTCCTGGCGAGGCTGAAGGACTTTCTGGCTGACTAGAAGAGCTACCCCCAAGTGTTTGGGCCCGGAGTGAGGAGAGTAGCACTCTTGTGCAGGATATTGATTTCACGGAGGATGGTGAGCGAGAAACCACTATCTGGGGGGGGATATCTGTGGTGACGAGGATTTATTTGACTGTAATGTGCTATGTACGATGAACGACTGAATGTACGATGAAAAGTACTGGTCGATATTCCTGTGGGAAGGTATGTTCTTTGGAAGTATGGAGTTGATGTATTATAATTAAGGTTTTATGGTTCTGGCTTATAAGCATGTTCTATGAACAATAGCTGTGAAAAGTGCTTTCATATGTGCTATGTACAGTTAAACACTTATAGTACTATATAATATTCATGGTGGCTAGCAGTAAAAGACAGAGCCTGGACATTGGAGAGGGTAGCCAGAGGTACCTGGCCTCCTTGGCCCACGCTGGTGAGGCCTGGCTATGGACACAGGCTCCCTGAGAAGCACTGAACACAGCTGCAAATCCTCAAATCTCAGTTATCTAGGGATGTCTGTCCTGGCCTCTGACCTGCCTGTGTCTACAGAGACAACTCTGGCCCTCAGGACCTGAGTGGTGGCTGCATGAGGGGGCACTTGTCCCTTTCCTGCGGTCTGGGTAGAAGGAGCCCTATAGTTGAAGAAATGCCCATCTGCGGGCTCTGCCTAGCCCTGGACATCCTCCTGGGGCTGACTTTGAGCATGAATCCCACATCTTCTCCAGGATCAGGCCCATGACAGTCATGCCCTCCTGAGTGCCAGTGTCCCCAGTACTATCCAGACAGCACTGCCTTTAGCTGGGCCAGGCTTAAGCTGACACTAATTGGCTTTTTTCCCCACAATAAAGACACTGAAAAAAACCTCCTCATCCTTTCACCTGAGGTACTTTTGTACCCCGTTCGAAAGGAGAAAATGTGCAGAAACCAGGGGGTCTTGCTTACAAGGGTATCTGCTAATCCCCTGGCCTGAGCAGGGAGATGCCCGCACCCTACATCCCCTACTCAATGCTCTCCTCCTTTGGGGCTCCTAGGGTAGCCTCTCTCTTGACTTGTGGCTAAATTCTTGTCCAGGATTTTTCCTGAGGCCTGAAGATTTGGGATTCTGGTCTGCTGGGCCAAACTGCTCCCTTTGGCCTCTGTGTAGACACACAAGACCTGGGAAATTATCATGTCCTGCTGAGCACACTCTGGGGATAGGATTTTTTTTTTTTTAGACAGAGTTCACTCTTGTTGCCCAGACTGGAGTGCAATGGCATGATCTCGGCTCATCGCAACCTCCGCCTCCCAGGTTCAAGCGATTCTCTGGCCTCAGCCTCCTAAGTAGCTGGGATTATAGGCGCCCACCATCACACCTGGCTAATTTTTGTATTTTTTAGTAGAGACGGGTTTTCACCATGTTGGCCAGGCTGGTCTTGAACTCCTGACCTCAGGTGACCCTTGGCCTCCCAAAGTGCTGGGATTACAGATGTGAGCCACCGCGCCCAGCCGGGAATAGGATTTTGAGAGCCTAGAAGCAAGGCTATCTGAGGCAAGGGACACTTCAATGAGAAAGTCCTAAGGCTGACTGCAACCTTACCTGCAATTTGAACCTTACCCTTCTTAGAGACTGCATGAGGAATTTCTGCTATTGTGATGCCTGTGTAACCATCCCTAGAGACAGGCATGCATGCACAGAGCTGTAGAAAAGTCAAGATAGTAAAAGAGCTGTGGGAGAGACTAGTTCAATCTGGTCCTGAGGGGTTGGGGTCTTTATCGGGTTTTCTCACATTGATAAGCCCTTGAATGTTTTTATAGTAGGGGTGTGTGTGTATGTGTGTGTGATTTTGTAATGACAGTACTATGACAATCATTTGCTCATCTTGTATGACAGTAATATCCCCTTAAGGCTTGGCCATCCTGGATCTTGGGCAACCAGTATTCTTGGTTGGGGAGTATTCCTTAGTCACCGGAGCTCCTTGACTACTCAGATAGGCATTTATCTCCTGGACATCTTCCTGTTGTGGCTTAGGAACTGAAGTCTCTTTGGACTTCCTACCTCCCTGTCTTCTTCGGCTCTTAAAGAAATACCTAATCTCCCATATCCTTTTCCTAAAGAAAAAACTCCAAGAAGATGCTATGCTCTGTGGTGAGCCCCTTCTGCCTCCAGACAATGCTCCTCCATGGCCAGAGTCTGTTGGGATACAACTCCACTCTCATCTGTTGGGTGTGTCCTGCCTTTGTCTAACTTGAAGTAACTCTGGACTGCCTCTCTTGGCCCTCAAATAGTCCCACTCTGACACGACTTGTCCATGGAGAGGGCAAAAGGAGCTAAAAAGTTTGTTTGCTCTCCTCCTTGAACTCAGGGTCCTCTGGACTTCCTTGCTCACAGTTGAGGAGGCAGGGAAAGGACTTCCAGGGTGGGGGTTGAATTTCTTGTGATCAGCTTATCTCCCGACCTGCCTGTTTGTTTCAAGGAACTAAGCAACCTCAATTTAGCCATCCCTGAAACATGGGTGGCTGAGGGATAAAGGTGGACTTGGGAAAGGAGCCATGATTGGGTCTCTATCACCTTAAGTTTTACAGATTCAGAGACTTTAAAGAGGTAAACTCTATCTCTGCCATGCTCAAAACCATACCACTTAGGCTTCTAGTGCCTGTGTAGCACCTGCATCAAGAAAGGAAAGCTTCCAAGAGGTATTTAGGCAGTGTTCCTGCACTGAGGGTGCCAAATTTCCAGTTTTCAAGTAGCTATAGGACTTCCCAGAAGGGAGCAATATATCACTGTCAGCAAGCTATGAACAACACACATATATAGGCCACCTGCCCAAGTGAACTTTCAGGGTGTTTTCCAGTTGCTTCCAGTCTAGGTTCTCTCTTGAATGCATTTATGTCATTTCCTGACCCATTCCTTGAGTGACTCAACAAGTCATTTTTTTTGGTCTCCTCTGATGAATCAGCCCCCAAAACCCCTACTGAGTAGCTTTCTGAACACCTTGATAGGTTACCTTTGGGACTCTTTCTCAGGCTATGCCTCAGACCCTTCCCTAGGTCATTCTGAAACTTGGCGGGGGGCCCCTCATATGGAAGCTTCTTGGGTGCCCAATCAATTCTTCCTTAGACCCTTGCTGCTTTGACCCATAAGTACCTTGAGGGCTGTAAGAATCTATGATTGTTCCTTAGCTGAGATGTGTCTGTTATTTGCCCTGAGGCTGCATCGGCACCAAAAGCTCTTGGATCCTCTAGGCCAGGACCCACTAGTGCTACATGAGCCTCTTTCAAAAGCAGTGCTCTAGTTGGTTCCAAATATTATTGCTTATAGGAAATTCTCTAGGAAGAATAGAAAATGGCACATAGTCCTGGGAGGCCAGGCTGTACTGAACAAGGTTGGGAGATGGAAGACAAAATTCTTCCTAAGATCTCTGAATTACAGAGTAAAAACTAGAAATTCTCAACAAATGTTGAGCTTCAATTGGGGTGACAGACTATACCTCATTCTGCGTCCTAGGAAAGGATACCCCAGAAGCCTTAATCTGGGGTGAAAAAGAAAGTAATAGGAGCAGGAATGAGGATTGAAGGTGGGCCCAAGGTAGGTGCTGGGATGAAACAGAGTTTGGGGCTGGGGGAGCAGTGGGGAACCTTTAGCCTGTATTTAAACCAGAAAGTGAAAGTGGGCATTAGAGATTCTACTGACTAAAACAAAGAGAGACTCCAGTGCAAAATAATCACCAGAAGTCAGGACAGTAGCCACCAGGGCCTCACTGTGCAGAGGTGAGACTCCAGGAGAGATGGTTCCATCCCCCAAGATTTTGGAATTTGGGAGCTGCTGAGGATGTGCAGCTGCTCTGGTTTGTCTTTGGTGCTCCACAGTGGTTGGGAGCCTATGTTGTCCTGTATGCCAGCAAGTGACTCTAAAATAGTTCCAGAAAAATTTATGTATATACCCCTCCAGCAAAGACTGGTAGACTCATTGGGTGCAATCACTTAATGAAACCTCTGTCTAGTCTTTGGCTAAGCTAGCCAAGCAGACACTTCAGTGGCCACACACAACAAAAAAAAATACACAATTTACACAATTAGTAAAGTCACGACACAAGCAAACAACAATGACAAATAGCAACAACAAAGCTTGGGGTCGGGGTGGGGAGTCTGATTTCCAGAAATGCCACATTATACTTGCCAGGCCTCTGAGCCCAAGCTAAGCCATCATATCCCCTGTGACCTGCATGTACACATCCAGATGGCCGGTTCCTGCCTTAACTGA
Organism: Homo sapiens; assembly: GCF_000001405.40. Taxonomy (NCBI): domain Eukaryota; kingdom Metazoa; phylum Chordata; class Mammalia; order Primates; family Hominidae; genus Homo; species Homo sapiens. The sequence goes on from NC_000009.12 coordinate 35,003,380, forward strand.
TGACATTCCACCACAAAAGAAATGAAAGTGGCCTGTTCCTGCCTTAACTGATGACATTATCTTGTGAAATTCCTTCTCCTGGCTCATCCTGGCTCAAAAGCTCCCCTACTGAGCACCTTGTGACCGCCCCCCCTGCCCGCCAGAGAACAACCCCCCTTTGACTGTAATTTTCCTTTACCTACCCAAATCTTATAAAACGGCCCCACCCCTATCTCCCTTGGCTGACTCTCTTTTCGGACTCAGCCCGCCTGCACCTAGGTGAAATAAACAGCCTTGTTGCTCACACAAAGCCTGTTTGGTGGTCTCTTCACACAGACGCGCATGAAATTTGGTGCTGTGACTCAGATTGGAGGACCTCCCTTGGGAGATCAATCCCCTGTCCTCCTGCTCTTTGCTCTGTGAAAAAGATCCACCTACGACCTCGGGTCCTCAGACCCACCAGCCCAAGGAACATCTCGCCAATTTTAAATCGGGTAAGCGGCCTCTTCTTACTCTCTTCTCCAACCTCTCTCACTATCCCTCAACCACTTTCTCCTTTCAATCTTGGCGCCACCCTTCAATCTCTCCCTCTCTTACTTTCAATTCCTTTCATTTTCTGGTAGAGACAAAGGAGACACATTTTATCCTTGGACCCAAAACTCTGGCGCCAGTCACGGACTAAGGAAGGCAGCCTTCCCTTGGTGTTTAATCATTGCAGGGACACCTCTCTGATTTTTCACCCATGTTTCAGAGGTGTCTGACCACATGGGGACACCTGCCTTGGTCCTTCACCCTTAGCAGCAAGTACTGCTTTTCTAGGGGGCAAGAACCCCCCAACCCCTTCTCTCCATGTCTCTACTCCTCTGCTTTTCTAGAGGGCAAGAACCCCCCCAACCCCTTCTCCTTCACCCTTAGCTGCAAGTACCACTTTTCTAGGGGGCAAGAACCCCCCAACCCCTTCTCTCCGTGTCTCTACCCCTTCTCTGCTTTTCTGGGGGCAAGAACCCCCGATCCCTTATTTCTGTGCCCCAACCTCTTATCTCTGTGCCCCATCCCTTATTTCCACGCCCTGACCCCTTATCTCTGAGCCCCGATCCCTTATTTCCATGCCCCGACCTCTTATCTCTGCGCCCCGATCCCTTATTTCCGCACCCCAACCTCTTATCTCTGTGCCCCGATCCCTTATTTCCACACCGCAATCCCTTATTTCCGCACCCTGACCTCTTATCTCTGCACCCCAACCCCTTATTTCTGTGCCCCGACCCCTTTCCTGCTTTTCTGGAGGGTAAGAACCCCCGAACCCCTTCCCTCCGTGTCTCTACTCTCTTTTCTCTGGGCTTGCTTCCTTCACTATGGGCAACCTTCCACCCTCCATTCCTCCTCCTTCTCCCTTAGCCTGTGTTCTTAAGAACTTAAAACCTCTTCAACTCTCACCTGACCTAAAATCTAAGCATCTTATTTTCTTCTGCAATGCTGCTTGACCCCAATACAAACTCAACAGTAGTTCCAAATAGCCAGAAAATGGCACTTTTAATTTTTCCATCCTACAAGATCTAAATAATTCTTGTCATAAATTAGGCAAATGGTCTGAGGTGCCTGACGTCCAGGCATTCTTTTACACATCGGTTCCTCCCTGGTCTCTGTTCCCAATGCAACCAGTCCCAAATCTTCCTTCTTTCCCTCCCACCTGTCCCCTCAGTCCCAACCCCAAGCATCACTGAGTCTTTCTAATCTTCCTTTTCTACAGACCCATCTGACCTCTCCCCTCCTCACCAGGCAGAGCCAGGTCCCAATTCTTCCTCAGCCTCTGCTCCCCCACCCTATAATCCTTTTATCACCTCCCCTCCTCACACCTTGTCCGGCTTACAGTTTCATTCCTCAACCAGCCTTCCCCCACCTGCCCAGCAATTTCCTCTTAAAAAGATGGCTGGATATAAAGGCATAGTCAAGGTTAACGCTCCTTTTTCTTTATCCGACCTCTCCCAAAATCAGTTAGCGTTTAGGCTCTTTTTCATCAAATATGAGAAACCCAGCCCAGTTCATGGCTCGTTTGGCAGCAACCCTGAGACGCTTTACAGCCCTAGACCCTGAAAGGTCAGAAGGCCATCTTATTCTCAATATGCATTTTATTTTATTACCCAATCTGCTCCCGACATTAAATAAAACTCCAAAAATTAAATTCCAGCCCTCAAACCCCACAACAGGACCTAATTAACCTGGCCTTCAAGGTGTACAATAATAGAGTAGAGGCAGCCAAGTAGCAATATATTTCTGAGTTGCAATTCCTTGCCTCCACTGTGAGACAAACCCCAGCCACATCTCCAGCACAAAAGAACTTCCAAACGCCTAAGTCGCAGTGGCCAGGCGTTCCCCCAGGCCCGCCTCCCCCAGGAGCTTGCTACAAGTGCCAGAAATCTGGCCACCAGGCCAAGGAATGCCCGCAGCCCACGATTCCTCCTAAGCCGCGTCCCATCTGTGCAGGACCCCACTGAAAATCAGACTGTTCAACTCACCTGGCAACCAGTCCCACAGCCCCTAGAACTCTGGCCCAAGGCTCTCTGACTGACTCCTTCCCAGATCTTCTCGGCTTAGCAGCTGAAGACTGAAACTGCCCGATTACCTCAGAAGCTTACAGGACCATCACAGATGCTCTAGGTAACTCTTACAGTGGAAGGTAAGCCGTCCCCTTCTTAATCAATATGGAGGCTACCCACTCCACATTACCTTCTTTTCAAGGGCCTGTTTCCCTTGCCTCCATAACTGTTGTAGGTATTGGCGGCCAGGCTTCTAAACCTCTTAAAACTCCCCAACTCTGGTGCCAACTTAGACAATACTCTTTTAAGCACTCCTTTTTAGTTATCCCCACCTGCCCAGTTCCCCTATTAGGCTGAGACACTTTAACTAAATTATCTGCTTCCCTGACTGTTCCTAGGCTACAGCCACACCTCATTGCCACCTTTTCCCCCAGTTCAAAGCCTCCTTCACATCCTCCCCTTGTATCTCCCCACCTTAACCCACAAGTATAAGACACCTCTACTCCCTCCTTAGCAACCAATCATCCACCCCTTACCATCTCATTAAAACCTAATCACTCTTACCCCGCTCAATGCCAATATCCCATCCCACAGCACACTTTAAAAGGATTAAAGCCTGTTATCACTCACCTGTTACAGCAAGGCCTTTTAAAGCCTATAAACTCTCCTTACAATTCCCCCATTTTACCTGTCCAAAAACCAGACAAGCCTTACAGGTTAATTCAGGATCTGCACCTTACCAACCAAATTGTTTTGCCTATCTACCCTGTGGTGCCAAACCCATATACTCTCCTATCCTCAATACCTCCCTCCACAACCCATTATTCTGTTCTAGATCTCAAACATGCTTTCTTTACTATTCCTTTGCACCCTTCATCCCAGCCTCTCTTCGCTTTCACTTGGACTGACCCTGACACCCATCAGGCTCAGCAAATTACCTGGGCTGTACTGCCACAAAGCTTCACAGACAGCCCCCATTACTTCAGTCAAGCGCAAATTTCTTCCTCATCTGTTACCTATCTCGGCGTAATTCTCATAAAAACACATGTGCTCTCCCTGCTGATCATGTCCAGCTGATCTCTCAAACCCCAACACCTTCTACAAAACAACAACTCCTTTCCTTCCTAGGCATAGTTAGATACTTTTGACTTTAGATACCTGGTTTTGCCATCCTAACAAAACCATTATATAAACTCACAAAAAGAAACCTAGCTGACCCATAGATTCTAAATCCTTTCCCCACTCCTCTTTCCATTCCTTGAAGACAGCTTTAGAGACTGCCCCCACCCTAGCTCTCCCTGACTCATCTCAACCCTTTTCATTACCCACAGCTGAAGTGCAGGGCTGTGCAGTCAGAATTCTTACATAAGGACCAGGATCACGTCCTGTAGCCTTTTTGTCCAAACAACTTCACCTTCCTGTTTTAGGCTGGCCATCCTGTCTCCGTGCAGTGGCTGCTGCCGCCCTAATACTTTAGAGGCCCTTAATATAACAAACTATGCTCAACTCACTCTCTACAGTTCTCATAACTTCCAAAATCTATTTTCTTCTTCACACCTGACACATATATTTTCTGCTCCCCGGCTCCTTCAGCTGTACTCACTCTTTGTTAAGTCTCCCACAATTACCACTGTTCCTGGCCCAGACTTCAATCCGGCCTCCCACATTATTCCTGATACCACACCTGTCCCCTATGACTGTATCTCTCTGATCCACCTGACATTCACCCCATTTCCCCATATTTCCTTCTTTCCTGTTCCTCACCCTGATCACACTTGGTTTATTGATGGCAGTTCCACCAGGCCTAATGGCCACACACCAGCAAAGGCAGGCTATGCTATAGTACAAGCCACTAGCCCACTTCTTAGAACCTCTCATTTCCTTTCCATCATGGCAATCTATCCTCAAGGAAATAACTTCTCAGTGTTCTATCTGCTATTCTACTACTCCTCAAGGATTATTCAGGCCCCCTCCCTTCCCTACACATCAAGCTCGGAGATTTGCCCCTACCCAGGACTGGCAAATTGGCTTTACTCAACATGCCCCGAGTCAGAAAACAAAAATACCTCTTAGTCTAAGTAGACACTTTCACTGGATAAGTAAAGGCCTTTCCTACAAGGTCTGAGAAGGCCACTGCTGTCATTTCTTCCCTTCTGTCAGACATAATTCCTCGGTTTGGCCTTCCCACCTCTATACAGTCCAATAGCAGACTGGCCTTTATTAGTCAAATCAGCCAAGCATTTTTTCAGGCTCTTAGTATTCAGTGAAACCTTTATATCCCTTACAGTCCTCAGTCTTCAGGAAAGGTAGAACGGACTAATGGTCTTTTAAAACCTCACCAAACTCAGCCACCAACTTAAAAAGGACTGGACAATACTTTTACCACTCTCCGTTCTCAGAATTCAGGCCTGTCCTCAGAATACTACAGGGTACAGCCCATTTGAGCTCTTGTATAGATGCTCCTTTTTATTAAGCCCCAGTCTCATTCCAGACACAAGACCAACTTGGACTGTGCCCCAAAAAACTTGTCATCCCTACTATCTTCTGTCTAGTCATACTCCTATTCACTGTTCTCAACTACTCATACATGCCCTGCTCTTGTTTACACTGCCAGTTTACACTGTTTCTCCAAGCCATCACAGCTGATATTGGTGCTATCCCCAAACTGCCACTCTTAACTCTTAAAGTAAATGAATAATCTTTGCTGGCAGGACTATGCTGAATCTCCTTAGGCACTCTCTAATTAGATGTCCTAAGTCCTCCCAATTCTTAGACCTTTAATACCTGTTTTTCTCCTTCTCTTATTCCGTTTAGTTTTTCAATTCATACAAAACCATATCCAGGCCATCACCAATAATTCTAAATGTTTCTTCTAACAATCCCACGATATCACCCCTTACCACAAAATCTTCAGCTTAATCTCTCCCAGTCTAGGTTCCCATGCCGCCCCTAATCCCGCTCGAAGCAGCCCTGAGAAACATCGCCCATTATCTCTCCATACCACCCCCAAAAATTTTTGCCATCCCAACACTTTACCACTATTTCGTTTTATTTTTCTTATTGATATAAGAAGACAGGAATGTCAGGCCTCTGAGCCCAAGCTAAGCCATCATATCCCCTGTGACCTGCATGTACACATCCAGATGGCCAGTTCCTGCCTTAACTGATGACATTATCTTGTGAAATTCCTTCTCCTGGCTCTTCCTGGCTCAAAAGCTCCCCTACTGACCACCTTGTGACCCCCACTCCTGCCCACCAGAGAACAACCCCCCTTTGACTGTAATTTTCCTTTACCTACCCAAATCTTATAAAACGGCCCCATCCCTATCTCCCTTGGCTGACTCTCTTTTCGGACTCAGCCTGCCTGCACCCAGGTGAAATAAACAACCTTGTTGCTCACACAAAGCCTGTTTGGTGGTCTCTTCACATGGACGCGCATGAAAATACTGTTCTAAATGTCCAGTTTTCAACAACTATAAGACATGCAAAGCAAAAAAGAGAATGGCCTATATACACACGTGAAGGGAAAAAAGCAATCAACAAAAAGTGACTCAGGAAGCCCAAACATTTGATTTACTAAAAAAACTATAAGTCAGCCTTGAAAAAAAAATTATAGAGGCAAGGTCTCACTATGTTGTCCAGGTTGTTCTCAAACTCCTGGCTTCAACAATCCCCCCACCTCAGGCTCCCAAAGTGCTAGGATTACAGGTGTGAGCCACTATGCCTAGCTAAATCTACTATTTAAAATATGTTAAAAAAAAAAAAAAACAAAACGAAGAAAAACTTTGTCTAGGCCAAGCAGTGGCTCACTCTGTAATCCTGGTGCTTTGGGAGGCTGAGGCAGGTGAATTGCTTGAGGCCAGGATTTCGAGACCAGCCTGGGTGACATGGGAAGACCCCATCTCTACAAATACAATGAAATAATTAGCAGGGAATGGTGGTACCTGCCTGTGGTCCCAGCTACACAGGAGTCTAAGATGGGAAGATGGCTTGAGCCCAGGAGATTGAGGCTGCAATGAGCCATGAGCCACTATGCTCCAGCCTGGATGACAAAGTAAGAACCTGTTGCCAACAAAAAAAAGACTAAAAACCTTAAGAGAAGTGTGGA